>NC_000009.12:31373636-31525151 GCF_000001405.40 Homo sapiens
ATATCTCCTAATGATATCCCTCCCCCCATCCTCCACCCCCACCCCATGACAGGCCCCAGTGTGTGATGTTCCCCTTCCTGTGTCCAAGTGTTTTCATTGTTCAATTCCCACCTATGAGTAAGAACATGCGGTGTTTCGTTTTTTGTCCTTGCGATAGTTTACTGAGAATAATGGTTTCCAGCTTCACCCATGGCCCAACAAAGGACATGAACTCATCATTTTTATGGCTGCATAGTATTCCATGGTGTATATGTGCCACATTTTCTTAATCCAGTCTATCATTGTTGGACATTTGGGTTGGTTCCAAGCCTTTGCTATTGTGAATGGTTCCACAATAAACATACGTGTGCATGTGTCTTTATAGCAGCATGATTTATAGTCCTTTGGGTATATACCCAGTAATGGGATGGCTGGGTCAAGTGGTATTTCTAGTTCTAGATCCCTGAGGAATCACCACACTGACTTCCACAATGGTTGAACTAGTTTACAGTCCCACCAACAGTGTAAAAGTGTTCCTATTTCTCCACATCCTCTCCAGCACCTGTTGTTTCCTGACTTATTAATGATCGCCATTCTAACTGGTGTGAGATGGTATCTCATTGTGGTTTTGATTTGCATTTCTCTGATGGCCAGTGATGATGAGCATTTTTTCATGTGTCTGTTGGCTGCATAAATGTCTTCTTATGAGAAGTGTCTGTTCATATCCTTTGCCCACTTGGTGATGGGGTTGTTTGTTTGTTTTCTTGTAAATTTGTTTGAGTTCTTTGTAGATTCTGGATATTAGCCCTTTCTCAGATGAGTAGATTGCAAAAATTTTCTCCCATTCTGTAGGCTGCCTATTCACTCTGAGGGTAGTCTCTTTTGCTGTGCAGAAGCTCTTTAGTTTAATTAGATCCGATTTGTCAATTTTGGCTTTTGTTGCCATCGCTTTCGGTGTTTTAGTCATGAAGTCCTTGCCCATGCCTATGTCCTGAATGGTATTGCCTAGGTTTTCTTCTAGGGTTTTTATGGTTTTAGGTCTAACATTTAAGTCTTTTTTTTTTTTTTTTTTTTTTTTTGAGACGGAGTCTCGTTTTGTCTCCCAAGCTGGAGTGCTGTGGCGCGATCTCCGCTCACTGCAAGCTCTGCCTTCCGGGTTCACACCATTCTCCTGCCTCAGCCTCCCGAGTAGCTGGGACTACAGGAGCCCGCCACTGCGCCCGGCTAATTTTTTGTATTTTTAGTAGAGACGGGGTTTCCCCGTGGTCTCGATCTCCTGACCTCGTGATCCACCCGCCTCGGCCTCCCAAAGTGCTGGGATTACAGGCGTGAGCCACCGCGCCCGGCAACATTTAAGTCTTTAATCCACCTTGAATTAATTTTTGTATAAATGTGAGGAAGGGATCCAGTTTCAGCTTTCTACATATGGCTAACCAGTTTTCCCAGCACCATTTATTAAATAGGGAATCGTTTCCCCATTTCTTGTTTTTGTCAGGTTTGTCAAAGATCAGATGGTTGTAGATGTGTGGTATTATTTCTGAGGGCTCTGTTCTATTCCATTGGTCTGTATCTCTGTTTTGGTACCAGTACCATGCTGTTTTGGTTACTGTAGCCTTGTAGTATAGTTTGAAGTCAGGTAGCGTGATGCCTCCAGCTTTGTTCTTTTGGCTTAGGATTGACTTGGCGATGTGGGCTCTTTTTTGGTTCCATATGAACTTTAAAGTAGTTTTTTCCAATTCTGTGAAGAAAGTCATTGGTAGCTTGATTGGGATGGCATTGAATCTATAAATTACCTTGGGCAGTATGGCCATTATCATGATATTGATTCTTCCTATCCATGAGCATGGAATGTTCTTCCATTTGTTTGTGTCCTCTAGAGAAGCAAGAGCAAACACATTCGAAAGCTAGCAGAAGGCAAGAAATAACTAAGGTCAGAGCAGAACCGAAGGAGATAGAGACTCAAAAAAATCAACGAATCCAGGAGCTGGTTTTTTGAAAAGATCAACAAAATTGATAGACCGCTAGCAAGACTCATAAAGAAGAAAAGAGAGAAGAATCAAATAGACACAATAAAAAATGACAAAGGGGATATCACCACCGATTCCACAGAAATACAAACTGCCATCAGAGAATACTATAAACACCTCTACGCAAATAAACTAGAAAATCTAGAAGAAATGGATAAATTCCTCGACACATACACCCTCCCAAGACTAAACCAGGAAGAAGTTGAATCTCTTAATACACCAATAACAGGCTCTGAAATTCAGGCAACAATTAATATCTTACCAACCAAAAAAAGTCCAAGACCAGATGGATTCACAGCTGAATTCTACCTGAGGTACAAGGAGGAGCTGGTACCATTCCTTCTGAAACTATTCCAATCAATAGAAAAAGAGGGAATCCTCCCTAACTTATTTTATGAGGCCAGCAACATCCTGATACCAAAGCCTGGCAGAGACACAACAAAAAAAGAGAATTTTAGACCAATATCCCTGATGAACATCGATGCAAAAATCCTCAATAAAATACTGGCAAACCGAATCCAGCAGCACATCAAAAAGCTTATCCACCATGATCAAGTGGGCTTCATCCCTGGGATGCAAGACTGGTTCAACATATGAAAATCAATAAATGTAATCCAGCATATAAACAGAACCAAAGACAAAAACCACATGATTATCTCAATAGACGCAGAAAAGGCCTTTGACAAAATTCAACAGCCCTTCATGCTAAAACTCTCAATAAATTAGGTATTGATGGGACATATCTCAAAATAACAAGAGCTATTTATGACAAACCCACAGCCAATATCATACTGAATGGGCAAAAACTGGAGGCATTCCCTTTGAAAACTGGCACAAGACAGGGATGCCCTCTCTCACCACTCCTATTCAACATAGTGTTGGAAGTTCTGGCCAGGGAAATCAGTCAGGAGAAAGAAATATAGGGTATTCAATTAGGAAAAAGGAAGTCAAATTGTCCCTGTTTGCAGATGACATGACTGCATATTTAGAAAACCCCATCGTCTTAACCCAAAATCTCCTTAAGCTGATAAGCAACTTCAGCAAAGTCTCAGTATACAAAACCAATGTGCAAAAATCACAAGCATTCTTATACACCAATAACAGACAAACAGAGAGCCAAATCATGAGTGAATTCCCATTCACAATTGCTTCAAAGAAAATAAAATACCTAGGAATCCAACTTACAAGGGATGTGAAGGACCTCTTCAAGGAGGACTACAAACCACTGCTCAACGAAATAAAAGAGGACACAAACAAGATTTGAAAGTTTAAAATTTCTCTTACTGGAAAACAAACTTGTATCCCCTCCAAAGAATCTATTAGCAAGTTGGAGCCTTCAGGTAATAAAGCTTTACTATTAAAAAATATAGGCTGGGCGCGATGGCTCATGCCTATAATCCCAGCACTTTGGGAGGCCGAGGCGGGTGGATCATTAAGGTCAGGAGTTTGAGACCAGCCTGACCAACATGGTGAAACCCCATCTCTACTAAAAATACAAAAATTAGCCAGGTGTTGTGGTGCGCACCTGTAATCTCAGCTACTCCACAGGCTGAGGCAGGAGAATCGCTTGAACCTGGGAGGCAGAAGTTGCGGTGAGCTGAGACTGGGCCGTTGCACTACAGCCTGGGCAACAAGAGGGAAATTCCATCTCAAAAAAATAAAAACAAAATAAATAAATAAATAAATAAATAAATATTATGTTACCAGTGCAAGTTAACTCTAACTGGTTTTTGATAACTCCTTTTTTGCAAGGCACAGGGCAGATTATAATCGTCCTGTTATCTTTTATTACTACATGGGTTTTAATGGACTTTCTGTTTATTGATTTCTCTTCCTAAATAATCATCCTTGAAGGGATGCATAGTGCTGCTTGTGCTGAATAATTGATAGCATATAGAGTTACTGGGAAAGCTGTGACAAGCTAGAGGATGTCGCAGAAAGAGGCTTAGTAGCACAGCGATAAATATCATAAGAGGCCAGTGCTGTCAGGAGAGGAATATCATATGATTAATTGCTCTATTACTTTTTCTTGGTCTTCAGAAAACAAAGAGGATATTAAAAAGGAAGTAGAAAATAAAGCACTTTGTTGAGTGTCGCTTCTTCTTATTCATTCATTGGGGTAGAGGGTGAAAGAAAATGCTTTAGTTTCTGTTATATCTTTATTTATGGAAAGCTGATGCAATAATAGATTCTGTTCAAATTGTATGGAAAGACATTCTTCCATAATGATGGGTTAATTATTTTAATTTTACAGGAGTATTCAGAAAGAATGTCTATTTCCAATGAATTAGCTATTATTTTGAATGCGGATTATTGAAGGAAACTGGAAATGCCATAACTGTTAGTACAGTAAACATGAACTGCATCAGAAACAGTCCTGGTGCCCAAAGAAAATGGGGATTTGTATTTAAAATTTAGGTTACGTTTGTTTTTAATTATTGACAAATATTATATCAAAAATTTCCTTAGGAGTGTGTGGTTATAAACTTATTCTGTAACCTTTTACATACACACACATACACACACATATAGACATGTCTTGATGGCTTCAATAGAAATAAAAATCGGTTTCACATTGTATTAAAGCACATAACCTCAAAATTATCATGAATTCTGCAAACTTACCTTTATGTAATTATACAATAATTTGTTAAAAGTATCCGTCTTGCAAATAAAAATACAATTTTAAAAAATTCTACTGTAATTTTATTTCTCAAAATGTACATCCTAAATTTTAATTTGATATTATCAAGTTTCCAAATCTCACCAGAGTGCTAGGCTGGATATATATGTGTATCATGGAGCCTAGACAGATGGATGTATATTGAAGCCATATGTAAGAGAATATATTTTAGAACTTTTTATTGCCAAAAAGTGAACTTGGTACCTTAGTTCTGATAGGATGAGTAGGGCAGGGGTGGAGGTTAATATGCATCTTCTGTAGTCAACTTTGGTATTTTGGTTTCTCTCTATCTACTACCTTCTAATGTGTGCAAATTTTTTACCACCTAAACTACCCCTAATTACGTAACTGCTTACAGGCTGATTTTTTTGTGCGTTTTTTTTGTTTGTTTGTTGTTTGTTGTTTTTTGTTTTGAGATGGAGTCTTGCACTGTCACCCAGGCTGGAGTGGAGTGGCACGATCTTGGCTCACTGCAACCTCCACCTCCCAGGTTCAAGTGATTCTCCTGCCTCAGTCTCTCGAGTAGCTGGGATTACAGGTGCCTGCCACCATGCCCAGCTACTTTTTTGGATTTTTAGTAGAGACGGGGTTTTACCATGTTGGTGAGGCTGGTCTCGAACTCCTGACCTTGTGATTCGCCCAACTCGGCTTCCCAAAGTGCTAGGATTACGGGCGTGAGCCACCGTGCCTGGCCTACAGGCTGATCCTTTGAGCAGAATATATTACAACAGAAATCTCCACAGTTTATCTGTTTAGCACAGTGTATGCCATAAACATGGATCATTCTCTCCCATTCATCAAAATAGTGTACATGCTGATAAGATATTGTTGCTTTCATCCAGCTCCTGCCATTTCTATGAATTTTAATCTATAGATACAAAATAAACCTTGTAAAATTGTTACTGTATCCCTATAAATTTAAACAATAGCTCTAGTTTTGAAACAATAGCATAGTGTATAATTTATTTTCTTCTTTAGCTTTAAAAATATGATGACATATCCCATATACTAGGATTTGTTAAAAATATATGTACATACATTGTTCATATTCCTATTTGAACCTTTGAGTAAATACCAAATATCAGAATTATCTCTACTGAAGGAAGAATGTAGTTCTTATTTAACAGAAATAATTAAGTTCATCCAATTTTACTTAGCTTTTCAGTATCAGTTCCAAAATCTCATACTGGATTATTTTCAAAACTTAAACATATTAATTTACAAAGAGTATTTTGCTAAATAACATAGGAATTTTAATTAAATTACTAATTTAGGACTTAACAGCCAAGGTCATGATAGGTGCTATGGAGAACAGAAAGCTACAGTTTATTATCCACCAAGCGGCCAGATATTACTTTTAAACATAAATCAGATTATTTCCTTTCTCTACTTAGCTTTCCTTGGCAATTTGTACAAAGTTCAGAACCTACAACAGGGTAAATCAGACAATAAATAAGCCAAAAAATCTGGACTCTTACTAACTCTCCAACCTCATGAAATGCTACTTTCCCCTTAGCTCTCTAGGATCTAGCCCATTTGCCTTCTTTCTATTCTCCCACCTTGGACTTTTACATTAGCTTTGCCTTAACTGGGAATTACCTGCCTACATCACTTTGCAAGGTGATCTCTATTTGTCAGAAGCCTCAGTTTAAATGTCTCTTCCTTAGTGAGGCCTTCTCTTACGCACAAGTTGCAAATCATTGACTATTGTATCACTCTTTTACAGACTTTTATAGTATATATCAGTGTCTGAAAATGTCTATTTTGCTTAATTATTTAATTAATTAATTTGCTTCTTCCCAGCATTTACCTATTGTGATAGGCAGAAAAATGGCCTTCCAAAGATGTCAACATTCTCAAATCTGAAACTTGAAATACGTTACCTAACATGAAAAAAGGGATGTGGTTCTAGATGTGGTTAAATTTAAGGACCTTGAGATGGAGCGATTATCCTAGATTGGACAGGTATGCCTAATCTAATCACAGGAACCCTTACAAGTAGAGAAACTTTCCTGACTGTAGTCATTCAGATAGACATGTGATTGTGGAAGAAAATCACAGATGGGTGCGACACTGCTGGTTTTGAAGATGGAAGAAAGGAATCACAAGTCAAGGAATGTGGGTGATCTCTAGAGCACAGAAAATGCAAGGAAGCTGATTCTCCCCTAGAGCTTTCAGAAAGACATGCAGACCTGCCAACACCTGGATTTAAGCCCAATGAGTCCCATATTGAATTTCTGACTTAAGAATTACAAGATATTATTTTTGTACTGGTTAAGCCATCAATATTATGGAACTTTGTTAAGGCGGTGATAGAAGACTAATACAACCATGAAAACCTCAAGATCAGAAACCCCATTCATCTGTTTCATTCTCTATGGCCAGAGCCTAGAAATGGGCATGGTGCACAGATGGTACTCAATAAATCACTGTTAATACACAAACTCATGTTGAAATTGACCAGAAATAAACATAACCTTAAAGATATGTATTGGATAAGACATATATTCTTTTTAAATACAATTAAATAATATTTTATCAGCTAATATATATTCTCCAAATTTCTCTAGACATTATATATTATAATAACACAATTATAAGTAAAAGAGTACATTATCGCTAAAAATATCCCCTATATGCTTAATGAAATAAATGACTGATAAAGCCTCCCCTGAAATGTGTGCAAAAGTCAAGAGAACAGTAGAATGAACACCGTGTACTCATCTCCCAGCCATACAATTTATCAACTCATTATCAGTCTTGCTTCATCTCATCCCATCCATTTTCTTTTCTTTATAGTATTTTGAAGCAAATTCAAGACTTCATGTAATTTCAACAGCAAATATCTCAATATGTATCTTTAAAAGGTAAGGACGGAATATATCCTAATTAACAATTTCCAAAGTTACAACAAGTCATTTTTGCCCCCTTGATTCTGTTACACCATCTATATGATTTGATTTGGTCAATGAGGCATTACTCGATGGGATACAGAGATGCTTGAACAAGTTAGTGTGTATTTCCTCTACTTACCCTTTCTCTGTGCCATTACTGTGAGAACATTCCCAGTATAGCCCACTAGAGGATGAGAAACATGTGGAATGAGCCAAGTCACCCCAGTCATCAAAGCTAAAGGCATCCTAGCTCAGCTTCCTGACAGTGACTCTAGGCTTGTGAGTGAGCCTAGATGAAATCACTCCCCTATAGACCTGAGCTAAACAAATGCTCATTGTTCTATGTCACTGAGTTTTGAGGGTTATTAGCATGAAAATGGCAATAGATAAGTCATATAAGCGTTCTACGTTATAAATTAGTGATCGGTTTAGCAGAGATCTTTAATCTCATTTTTCCCCCCGGGATAAGGATTTAGGTTTGAGGAGACCAAAATCTTATGAAAGTTGGAGAGCTCTATTTGAGAAAAAGAATAACACAGAACAAATACACAATGGGGCATGAAAGTGAACATATTTTCAGAATGAAAAAAATATATGTAGTAGCCTTGGTAATCTAGGTACCTGTATTGTCAGGTTTGTTTAGCCAAATAATTGCAATCTGGCTTCCGATCTCTACCCAAAACATTCAATAAACTCCAGCACTCACAGAGGCCCAAGAGCTTAAAGAAGAACCAGTTCCATTAGTTTTACAATAAATCTGACTCTCCTCTTACTTAATGGTATAATTTATGTAAAGAGAATGTCAAATGAAGTACTATTAAAATAAGATAATAATTTTAACCATTTTTTTTTCTAGTGCCTCACACGGGGTGCCTTTGGGATAAGAAGTAAGTAGCCAAAATTCCTGGGCATATGGAGAACTGTGAGGTTCATGCTGGAAACTGTGTTGCTCATATTTCAGAAGTGCTGCAGAGTACTAAGCGCAGTGTAGAGACACACTTGTCATGGCATTATTCCTTTTTCTCATATCTTTCCAGACTTCTGATAGTTTCATTGATTTCGCTTGTTTAAGGAAGAACTCCATTCGAGTATCAAACTAAGTAGTCATACTGCTTAAGACCTGCCAGGGCCATGAGGAGTATCTCCTGATTGGACCTTGACAGTGTGCTAATTATTTGTGACATTTTTGTAATAAGGGAATTGTGCTGATAAAAATAAATAAATCCAAGATATTCTTCTTACAGATTGTCTTATTAATCTCAATTGTATGTATCATCTGGGGTAGGATGAATTTATTCATGTCACAGAAACCACTTCATTCCTAAATATGCTGAAATTATTGGCTGAATTTTCATTAGAAAATGGGAGTACAAAGCTGGGTCTTTGTTGATTAGAATATCAGTAATTTGAAAGCTAATTACATTAAGATTTTAATCTCCACATCTTGGATTTAAAAGCATCTAAGATTTTTTTTTGTAGTTTCAGTTCTTTTTTTAACGATTATACTATAAGTTTGGGGATACATGTGCAGAATGTGCAGGTTTGGTACATAGATATACACATCGCATGGTGGTTTGCTGCACCCATTATCCAGTCAACTGCATTAGGTAGTTCTCCTAATGCTATCCCTCCCCTAGCCCCCCATCCCCCAACAGGCCCTGGTGTGTGATGCTCCCACACCCTGTGTCCATGTGTTCTCATTGTTCAACTCCCACTTATGAGTGAGAACATGTGGTGTTTGGTTTTCTGTTCCTGTGTTAGTTTGCTGAGAATGATGGTTTCCAGCTTCATCCATGTCCCTGCAAAGGACATGAATTCATCCTTTTGTATGGCTGCATAGCATTCCATGGTGTGTATTTGCCACACTTTCTTTATCCAGTCTATCACTGATGGGCATTTGGGTTGGTTCCAAGTCTTTTCTTTCAACCTTTTGCTGTGGATAGCAAAATGCAATTTAAAAATTTGGTTATGTAAAAATAAATTTTGAATAATGTTTCTATGGAATCCTTTTGTTTTAGCCTTTATTTTTTCTTGTATATACAAAAACAGATATATCCTATTAAAATAAATGTGTTTCAGATATATGAAACAAAGAATGTGAGTGCCCAATATTTCAACCCTTGCTCCGTCCTGTTCATGACTAGAACTGTGCTAAATTTACTGGTGTCTTGAAAATTTTAATGATCCTTCTGTTTCCTTGGCACATATGTATTTAGTAAGATGGGCAATAGAAATCCTTATAAAATTCTCTTGTAAATTTTTAAAAGTGAATTAAAATGAAGTACCTAATTGGAATCTCAGGATATTTCTGTTTATTACAAAGGTCATTTAGATATTTATTATTGTTTTTTCTGGTAAAACAGATTGACCATTAATTATATTAACTATTAAAAGAGTCATTATGTTCTCTTTGTTACAGTTATGTTGTGTGTTTACAATTCTGACTATGTCTTCTCTTACCTTTTAACTTGTGTTTACATAGGTTCAATTTCATTACTATCCCAGAAGTGTAAAGAGCAACTATGAACTAATTTGTAGTGGTTAACAACAACCCCACTTTCAGTGAATTTGACTTAAAAAGCTCAATTTCTTATTCACACTACATGTGAAACATCAGTTTCAGGAGCTTTGTGTGCTGTGGCCACTCTGAAATTAGGCTGACATGGGCACAACCAGGTTATCCTACAACCCAATCAGCCTGGGCCTCAAGGTTGGCTATGGCAGGAAAGGGGACTAAGAATTACATGTTAGGTACATGGCACATGCAACCATGAGAATCAGGTAGTGCAACTACCTGATTAAAATAAAAATATATATACATATACATACACATACATATATATACACATATATGTTATGTGTATACACATACACATACATATATATACACCTATATGTTATGTGTATACACATACACCTATATGTTATGTGTATACACATACACATATGCATATGTATACATATACATATATGTGTATATACATATATATACATATATACACATATATGTGTGTATATACGTATATATACGTATATACACACATATATGTGTATATATATGTATATGACCTAGAGATTATACACAGATAGATAGCTTTTTTTTCAAACTTGGAAGACATATGAGACTCATATTCACATCATTGTTCTAAAGTAAAATGACATATTCAAATGACATTAATTATTGCTTTCCTGTCCAATAAATAATGTAATTGGACTGTTATACAAGATATATTTTTTAAATGTATACACGATTATGTTATGTAGAAAAATGATCAATTTGCTATAAAAAGGAGGACCATGGTACCAGGTTAAGGCTATAATTGAACAATATTAACAATTATTCCATAGGTAATACAATTAAAGATATTGTAACTATAAATGTTAAGCATTTAACTCAATCAGACCTGCTTTATAATAAAGTTTATTTCTAGTAGAATTTATCTAGTTTACATCTCAAAGTTGATTTCCACTTGATCTCTTCTGTATCTTAACATGGATGGAATTGATATTGGGGTACTGGAACAAAGACAGACAATATCTACCCAATGCTATATAAATTTATCTAGATTGGAAAAAAGAGATAATGACAATCATCCACTTACATTGTATATTTGCTATTTTTCTGAAGTTTATTATATTTGTCAACTAATTTTTATAAGATTATGGGCTTTGATAATCTGATCAGTCTTTGTCTGATAGTATAAATGGTTTAGGTTCTCCCTATAGGAAGATAGAGACAACAATATAACTGTGGGCTCTAAGAATAAGGAGGAGGATTTGGTCACTGAAAAACTCAAGTATTATTAATCTGTGTTCCATTTTGGTAACTTGTAAATCAGCTCATTTTTTGGTATCAAATTAAAATCAACACCCTGAAAGAGATGAGGTTATTAACCCTTCTTCTCTGGCCTTTTCATATTAAGATAATTGTACTTTGCTGCAGAGCTAAATTCTCCCAGTAATTTCATTTTGAAAAATAAAACTAGACAGCAGATCCTGGCACTGTCATCCAAATTGTAGTTCCCTAAGTGTACTACTCAACAGCTGCTATGTTCCACCCCTTAAGTGGTTATGTTCCAATTTTTCCAAAATATTCTTTTGTAAAAATAATGCATCTCATTTACATAGAGCTTTCCATTTCATAATGTCAATATTATTTTTATTCAACCCACATAAACAGTGTCAGTATGAGACTGAGGATAATTTCATAGACAATGAAACAAAGACATGAAGGAAAGAGAAAGGAAAGGGCACATGGTGAACTATAGCTCTAACCTCTTTTTAAAATGATTTAAGCACTTTACTAGGATGTTTTTACTTGCCCACAGTGTTTCTCTTCATGATCAAATCTCTACACAGAATGAAAAGAGTCAGTTTCATCACAGGGCAGGGAAAATTGGAAATATAAGATATATAGAAAATGGGAACAAATATGTTCAAGAAATATCCAAGACTATAACCAGTCTTCCAATATGTCTCAGTATCCATGAGTAAATTGGCAATTCTAAAACAAATAAATGATATGCGTTTAAACTAAATGCTACCAAGTGAATAAAATCCACTTGATAGCAACAAGAAAGCCACGCAGTTATGCAAGTTAGGTACAATGATGGATAAAGGCCAAGGTTGCTATCACAGTAGAGCACATGGCTAAATATGATATTCTCTTATCCTCTATCCCTTTCAGATCGTTCAGTGTACCATGATATTGGTACCTCAGTATTGATAACACCAAATGTTATTAATACTCATATCCATGTTGTCAAAGGGAAAAATAAATCCAATAGTCTGGGTTATCTCTTTCTCCCTAATAAAATAAATACAAATTTGCTCTTTTTCTCTTCAAGTTTTATGACTCTAATAGTTTTCCTTTGCCTAATTTCATTGGCTAACACTTTGAAAACATATAAAGTAGTAGCAGTAACATAAGTCACCCTTCTCTTGGAATTAGATGCAGACATCTAATAATTTCTATAAAGTATAGAGTTTCGAACCAGCTGGCTTATATTTTATCACATAAAAAAATCCATGTTTCTATATCTGTTTCTATTTTATTGAGTACATTAAGGAATGGATTTTAAATTATGTCAAATTCCCTTTCAGCTTCTAGTAAGATAATCATGAGATTTTTCTATTATATCAATTAACATAAGATCTGTCAACAGACTTACTGATGTTGAATAATGTTTTATAATTTTATACATAATGTAAAACATAATGTATTACAGTCTTAATATCCCCTTGCATTCTTTCTAATTAAATGATAGTTCAAATGTTTACTTTGTTCTTTAGAAGTGAGGTTGATCAACAGTTTTCTTTTTTGTATTTAAACCTTTTCAGCTTTTAGTATCGTAGTTATATCTACTATATAAAATTTTTGGAATTTTATTTATTTTTCAATGCCTTCTAATAGTTTAAGTAGCATTTGAATAATAAAATCTTTTAATATACTTGTGAATATGCATGTGAAGTTCTCTGGGCCTGGTGCTTTCGTGCAGAAGAGAGCTTTTTGTCACCTTTTTCTGTTTCTTCTATGAAAATTATTCTGTGTAAACTCTGTCTGCAATGAGCTTGGGGATATTTTATTTATCTAGAAAATTATGCACCTACTCTAGATTTTAAAATATATTTGCATGCAATTGTGCACAAAATCTCTTGTGATTTTTGTAATATCCTTGCTTTTGATGGCCATTTCCTCCTTAAGTCTTTTTACTTAATTTTAGAGATACATCGTTCTCATTTTGCTGCCCAAGCTTGAGTGCAGTAGCTCATCACAGGCACAGTCATAGTCTACTAGAGCCTTAGACTCAGGGGCTCAAGTGACCGTCTCACCTCAGCCTCCCAAGAACTTAGGTTTAGCTAGGAAGAACTTAGGTTTTATGTACCTGTTATCTCCCCTTTGTTTATATAACTGGTTTATTATTTTATTACTTTTAAAATACTTCAGCTCATCTGTTTATTAGTTCTATTTTTTCCTCAACAACTCACTGAATTCTGTTTTTATAATAGTTTCTTCTCTCCACTTTTTTGATTCCAATTTCTCTAGAATCTTGATCTCTTTGTGCTTGATATTAATTTATTTTTGAATTCTTATTGCATAAGTGTTTTATTTGGTAACAGATTCTAATTTTACTGCATTGTGTTCAGAGGATTTTTGTACCATTTCTGTATTTTGGAATTTGTGGAGATTTTCTTTGTAGCTTAATGTATCGCCAGTGTTTGTGAATGTTCCATGTGCTTCTATAAGATCTAACTTATTGATAATGTGTCACTGTATCTTTCATCCCTAACACTGATTCTGTCTCACTTTGCAAGCTATGTCCTAAATTATCTTATAATTGTTGAGATTCTTTCTGATTCTTCTTACATCTTATTAGCTTTTTAATGGAAATATTGCTGTATTTTTAGTAAATAGATATCCACAATTTTTCTTTGTCTTTAGCGTTGTAAGGTCTTCTTTATATAACATAATACTGTTTTGGCTTGATTTATATAAGACTGATAAGATAATGGCCACAATGGTTTTCTATGTGCCTTTTATTTTTAACCTTTCTGAACCTCTCTTTTTTTAGGTGCTCATTAAAATAAAGGCTTTTCTTATGGGGCAAAGAGATGTGGGGTTTTTTGCTATAAAGTCTTTCACTGTGTGTTTACTCTTTATTTTTTTCATTTAGGAAAACTTGTATCTTTTTTTCTAAAACTTACTTTATGACAGCATATTTATATGTGTAAACTGTACTAAAAGAACAAAAATATTGAGTTTGATACGTACTAGTTAACTTAATTTACATATTTATTTAATGATATAGAAGAGGTGGATTCTACTTTAGAATGCCCACTTTTAAAATAGGATCTAACATCAATATTATTTTTTCTGTTTTAATCCATACCTACCTGTCCCTAGTAAAAAGGTATAATATACTGAAAAGCTGAGGGGCCTGTGCTATGTTCTGTATTTTACAAATTGAAATTCTAAGCATGTTTTGAATTTAAGATTAGTTATTTAAATGTATTACGCATTTGAAAACTAGTGCTCTAGGAAGAAACACTATAAAATGTAATTAATAACTATGTAATAGGTAACATGTAATAAATAAATAATAAAGTTACATATATCGTGTATATGTATATAATTTATAAACCCTTTGCATGTCCTAAAAATTAAGTAATAAAGGAAAAATAAGCAATGAGTGAATGTTTATTAAATTACAAACTCTGTATGAACACCAGAAATCAGAATAGCAAAAATATATTTAAAACATTAAAAAAAGAAAAATCATAAATATTTTATCTTGTTATTTGTTCCACATATCTGAAATTATGTAAGTTTACTCTTCAGAAAGTAAGAAAAGGTCAGCTAAATTAATGCCATATGTCAAAGTAAAAACACCTGTGAGTTCCCAGGTATATGCATGCACATACGTGTTTACAAACTACGCACTTGACATGCCATTTTTCTGTGCCTAAATTCTATAGAATGTTTCAACTAAATCACAATTATTGGTGATATATTTATGCTTGCTGTCCCCTAAAGCAATGAAAGAATGAGAATTAAAAGTTGCTGTCAAGCTACATTTGTATAATCATGCTGATAATAGCTTCTTGCCTCCTCCCAGAAACTTAGATACTGCGTGACCTAATCTGGACAACCCCCAGAGGTGAGTCACAAAAATCACATGCATTCTTGCTATACAAAATATAAACAGCATCTTATTATTTTTCCTATTTTAATTTCTATTGTGCTAACCTCAAAAAAGAAAATGTTCTACTTCTTTAAACCTATTATCTATAGCAAGGCATCAATTTTAAGAAATAAGATGAAGGTTATAAATGATCCCATATTCACTTCATAAATTTTGCCTACAATGTGAATATAAGTCATCTGCAAACATATGTAGATTAGTTTTATTTAAATACTTAGGAAAACAAAGTAATTCAGCACTGTCCATGGCTTGAAAACGTACTCCAGTTCCATAACCTTGAATGTCTTCTGCTGACCTTCTTATTGCCTTACTCATCTTTTCTCCAGGCTTTTAGACACTACTTCTTGAAACCGAAATAGCATTTTAAATACATACCACAGAAATGCTTCACGTTGACCACTTTGAACTAGGTCAATTTGCATTAATAACTTGGAGGGGAAAGATTCTAAAACCTATTAATCTCTAAAGGTCTCAAATGCCCTCTTGCCTTTATTCTTGCTTTCTTATTTTGTATGAAAGTCACATATCTGACAAGTAGATGCCAAAAAGGTTGGTTTGACTGTGCTATCCATGGCACTCTTTCCTTTCAAGAGAAAAATGAAATTCATCAAAAAGAGAATTTTATGCTACATTATGAGCACCAAAACAGACACTCCCCAAAAGGAAGATAAGGACACCAGATAAAATGAGTTGATCTGAAAGGGCAAAGGACTGTCTCTACTTCCATTGTATCGATTTGTCATTTCTGTGGATTTCTTTTTGTTTTTAACAAAAAGACAGAAATTTTGGAGTAATGAATAGCTCTAGTTAGCCATATCTGATGGCTAAGGATTAAACTTTTAGAAAGAGATCATATAATTAAAATTTGAATAGAAATATTCTAATGTACATTACAAAAATGCATGCTCTTTTAGAAAGATAAGCCTGAAGATAATATTATTTAATTTACCAAAAGTGTAAACAAATACTTTTGATCATCAATATGTGTCAGCACTGTTCTAGGAAATTAATTTAGAGTATGAATAAAAATAAATCCTTACCCTTACTGAGCTTACATATTAGCAGGGCATAATATAGGATAGGAACTGAGAGTTCTCATTGAATATCACCTTGTCAGAGAAAGCTACGTCAGATTAATTAGCATCACCCTCAAGCATCTTATCTTTCCTTAATTTTCTACATGAAAATTATAATTTTCTGACATATATAATGCTTATATGCCTGCTTTTATCTCTGTCTCTCTTTCTCTTTATTTCTTTTTTTCTGATTAGATTTCCCAGATAACAGCCATTTGCAGATCATTGCAGGTGAGCTATGCAGTTAAAAATAAGGTTCACCCTGACCCTAGAATCTCTGACTTATTCCGACTTTATGAGTTGAGGAAATGACACATAATACTCATCCCTCCAACCAACCACCTACCTTCCTTTGGCAGTTAACTTTGCAAAAGTTGTACGTTCCCAGAAGAGGGAAATATATCAAGCTGTTTTGTGGGACCTACAAAGCAGAAATGGCTCAATGGACTGATGTAAATACCAGAGAAAAGTCTCTCCAGTGCAAGACAGTCACAGCAGGTGCTTCTGCCCATGGCAGCTAACCAGTGACAATTTAGAAGTGGGGAAGGCAAATTACTTGCTAGTCATGAGAGCTGTGTGACTTTGAGTCAGAGAAAAGGGAAATACAGATCAAGTAATCAAAGAGGTGTCTTTCTAGAGTTTGATGATTGGTAAATCTTCAGAAGGTTGAGATTCGTGACCTTCCACACAGAAGGCTTTCAGTTATATCGAAACTCTGGACCATCTTTCTTGCCTCTTGTATAGTTGATTACAGAATCCTAGCTTCCTGTCTTTTTCTATAAAAGGTCCACGGCCTTCTGTCAACTATCTGTCACTCAGGGACAGCTCTTTGGCTGCTTGCCGTTTCTCACACTGAATGCATCCATCTTCCTAAACAATTTCACTTTTGTGTATCAAAGGCACTGCTGAGAGCTGAGAGAAATGGTTCATCAAGAATCTGGGAAAGACATATGACAGGAAGTAAAACATACTGAGCAAGAGGCAGAAACGGAGAAGGAAGAGCTAAAAACAGTAAAAGGAGAGTTCTAACAACAACAAAATTATGATACCTGTTCCACTCTTCATTTCATTCTCTGTAGTTCTAACCACATTGTAATATTTCTGAAATGCAGTATTAGAGAGAGAGGAGAAAAAAATCAACAGTTTAGAGGTACAGGGGGAAGGCAACTAACTGCTTTCTGAAATCAATTTCTGGCATTTTGTTCTAGCAGTTTTTCCCTATTCATGAGGTTCCAATTCGCATTTAGTGTTGGGGATTTAGTGCTGACTGCAAATTAAAGATCTTCATTTATTCTCTCCTGTTGTTTTATTTTATAGTTATCATTCTATTTTGTAATACAAGAATGTAAACATCACAGTTTCCAAAATAATTCGTAATTTATGGATATTAATGTAGACTTAGCTGTCTTTGAATGAGCTTTCATTATATTGAAAATATTGTAAAGGCCAATATATTTTAATTTAGCAGCTGTTCATATAATGTCTGTTTATAAAATATAGCATGTTTGACTTATCCTTTAATATTAATATTCAAAAAAGCAAAAACAAAAACAGCCTTTTTCCCTAAAATGAAACTACCAAAATGGAACAGTTGTATTTACTATACAGATTTTAAAAATAATGTATAGGTTATATTTCATAAAAGATATGTATTAGCTGTATATTATGTGGGAGAGAACTATTATGACACTGAAAACACAATAGTGAACAAAACAGACAAAACTCTCCATGCTCTAAGGGCTTATCTTCTAGTTAGGGGAGGCTGATGTAAAACACAATAAGAACAACATAGCATGTGCCGGGTGCTGTTGAGGACAAAGAAGAAAAAAACTTAAGGTGGGGAGAGGAGTCAGGAATTTTAGGTTGAAGCAATTTGAAAATTTTCTCTTAAGGAGGAGACATATATGAGTTCCAACCTAAAATGGTGAAGATAACCATAAGGCATTCTGAAAGAAGAGTACTCCACAAAATGCTAAAAGATACTGCCAAGTCTGGGTTCAAGAAACTCTGGTGGCTGGAATCGAGTAAGGGTGAAGGAATTATTAGGAAAGGAGGAAGAGATGTACATGGGGACAGATTGTACAGCTTCTTGTTGGTCATTCTATGTACTGAAAAATATTTTGTATCAGAAATATTTTGTCATGTGAGCTACTGGTTTTTTTGTTGCTGTTGTTTTGTTTTTTTGTTTTGTTTTTTTTAGACGGGGTCTCACTCTGTCGCCCAAGCTGTAGTGCAGTGACGTGATCTCGGCTCACTGCAAGCTCCGCCTCCCGGGTTCACGCCATTCTCCTGCCTCAGCCTCCTGAGTAGCTGGGACTACAGGCGCCCGCTACCACGCCCGGCTAATTTTTGTATTTTTAGTAGAGACAGGGTTTCACCGTGTTAGCCGGGACGGTCTCCTCACCTCGTGATCCACCCACCTCGGCTTCCCAAAGTGCCGGGATTACAGGCGTGAGCCACCGCGCCTGGCCCTTACTGTTTTCCCTTCTACGATAAACATCCTAATTGCTTCATTGAAATGGGAAATTAGTGGAAGGTTTAATCCCTTTGTATATTAAAAAGTTTTTTCACATAAATAATCATTTTGTTTTCCAAGAAATATGTTTTTCAAATTTATTGAGAGCCCAGTCTCTCAATAACACCTGTTTTGTAAATTATCTTTTAAATGTATAGTTTCTAGAGTTCTGCATCCTGCTCAAATGGTTTGACATAATTGTCTGGGCTGGAGCAAGTATCACCTAAAATCCAACACTGCTTTGTATCCATACGGGTTAATTTCCTTCAGGAAACCCACCATTTATTTTCCCATTGCATCACTTTTACTCCACTTACTTGAGTGAAAATCCTGCTCTTAGTGTGATGTCAAGAACATACTTTCATAATGTGAATTATTCACAAATCATCCTACATTCTCTTGACATAAAGAGAACAGGGCCTATCCACCGAA
This sequence comes from Homo sapiens, assembly GCF_000001405.40. Taxonomy (NCBI): domain Eukaryota; kingdom Metazoa; phylum Chordata; class Mammalia; order Primates; family Hominidae; genus Homo; species Homo sapiens. Next base: position 31,392,946 of record NC_000009.12, read on the forward strand.
AAGGTGTACATCCCAAAAGGTGAGATAAACATAGAGTGACAAAGAAATCCAAAGAAATCTCTAACTCATCTTGCTATATTGTATTCCCTAATCCACAGCACTATTCTAAATATGAAAGCAATAAATGAATAAAAACATACTTAAATTATTAGTAGTTGCTTTGTTATTAAACCCATCAAAGTCATTATTTTATTCTATTAAGGCAATCTATGATTCTACTTGATTATGTATCGATTGCCACACTTTACTTTGGGCTTATAATAGATTTGAAGTCAGTTGCATTAAAATTTAGCCAATGCTTTACCTCTTCAGACTTTTTTGTTAATAAATGTGCTTCTTTTTATATTCATTCATAATGCAATTTATCTGGTTTTACTTCCTCTAATGTTACAGCCCCCTGAGGTTATCTTAGATCCTGAATATCTCAATTCATGTGGCCTTTATCACTCTAGTTTCCTGTCATCTGACAATTTGTTGTGTCATGTAAGCCCTCATTCACAGTAATGATAAAAAATGCTTAACATGTGATGCAACAAGCAATCAAATCCTGCCATATAAAACTAGATTCTTTCCTGTCCATTGTGGTTGACTTCCATTCTTAAAGCAGTTCACTAGATAAGATCATTTAGTCATGTTATAATTCTCTGCAAAACATCTCACAAATAAGTCTCAAATAATTTTTTCACAAGGACTTACTTAGCATTTTTGTCAGATATCTTTCTGAAATCCAAACCTTTTTTTTTTTTTTCAGTATTTCTCTGATATAACAGCCTAGTTGCTGCCATTAAGGACATTAAATCCAGAAAGTGCATATTATTGCAATAAACCTAGCTCTTTGTGAACCTATGTTCACTGTTGGCAGTCACCACTCTCCTCTATATGCAGTAACAATCAATAAGCTTTTCCTGCTATGCATTGATAGTTGACAAATATTTTTAGTTTGCCTTCTACATAATTTTGTGATTGTGATTGGTGCTTCTTGAGACATACTTTTATTACATGTAAGTGGAGAAATCTTCCTTGCTACCTACTCATTTCAGAGGCCCAGTAATATTAACTAGGCTCTTTGTGAGATCTATGGAGAAAGGGCATTGCTCTAACAACTGCTATTGTTGTTACAGCCTCTTAATAATTCATTCCGTTGAAGGGTGCTGTAATTTGGATGTTCCCCAGCTCCTTAAATACCCATAACAGCTGCATAGCCACATCTTCTAATAAACGTGCTAAGAACTTAAAAGCTATCACATGTTTCAAAATCTTTAGTTTACAGCTATTCTACTGATATAGGGCAAAATTATGTCAAGTGGCTCATTTCAGGGGAATCCCAGGAGTCTTCCAAGTAGCTTTATTTAGAAAACCCTTGATGCTAGCAAGTACATTTTCTTGGACTTAGGTCAAATTATTTACAAGAGCATGGCTCTGTTCCAGTTTCAGGGATTATGTGTTACAATTACCACACTGTGAACTCTACTGTAGTTTCTGTATCAGTTAGAGAAGGTGATTTCTCATGAGTTGCAGAAGACCCTGAAAATTAAGGCACTATGGTCTTCATATCTGATGACATGTTTGGTGAGAGTCACTTTTATTATTTTGATATCTACTGTGGTCAACACATTTATTTTTAGATTAATAACAGTTTTTATTACAACATTTGAATATAAATGTTGCTTTTGGCTTTACCTCCTCAGCAAAAAGAAAAGTAAGAAGAAAATAGAATTGTCAATTTCTTAGCACAAAGAGATAAGCTATTTTCAGCAATTGTATACATATGTGTAACTATAAAAGTATCTGATCTAAAATTAGTATTATGATCTATATATATTTAGATTGTACCTCTTTTCTTAATATTACTTATAATAATCTCTTTTCCAACAGTATAAGATATCCTACAAAAGTTGACTTTAATGGTTATGTTATACATTAACATTTTCCTATCTCAAAACTTAACTAAACATTGCCAATGGTTAAATACTTTGGTTGTTGCCCATTTTTCAACACTACAACTACTTTAAAAAGAAAAGTATTAGTACATAAAACATTCTAAGCATGTCTCAATATTTTTGTAAGACAAAACAGAAAAAAGTTACTTTGATAACTATTTTTTAAGTTATTTTTATAAAACTATTAACTCCTGAAAGTGTGCACAATTTTATGTCTTTATTGATAACAGGTAAGTTTTCATATGCTCTAACACCAAAATAGCCATGCTAATTTTAATTATAATTAAGAATTTGCCTCAGTTTGCCTTTTTATTGATTACTGGTGAGATTTAAAATATTTGTAGTTTATTATAAATTTGTATTTCTTCTTTGTGAGTTTTTTTAAACTACTTTTGTTTTAGATTGAAGTTATTTTCTTCTCTTTGCAGATTTTAATTTGTCCTGTACCAAATTACATTTTTTTTCTGCGATTTATAATACCACCCACTACTTCAGAGGCTGAGGCAGAAGGATTTCTTTAGCCCAGAACATCAGGTCTGCAGTGAGCCGTGATTGTGTCACTGCACTCCAGCCTGGGCAACAGAGCGAGACCCTGTGTCTATTTGATAACAAAATAATAATAATAATATCATCATTGTATTTTACGTTTAATATTTTCTCATTCCTAATTGAGTTCAATTTTCATCCATTTTATGAGTTCTAAATTTTGATATCTTGCTCATGCTGTCAGTTGATTTTTTTTTTTTTTTTTTTTTTGAGATGGAGTCTCGCTCTGTCACCCAGTCTGGAGTGCAGTGGCGCGATCTCTGCTCACTGCAAGCTCCGCCTCCCGTGTTCATGCCATTCTCCTGCCTCAGCATCCCGAGTAGCTGGGACTACAGGCGCCCGCTACCACGCCCGGCTAATTTTTTGCATATTTGGTAGACAGGGTTTCACCGTGTTAGCCAGGATGGTCTCGATCTCCTGACCTCGTGATCCACCCGCCTCAGCCTCCCAAAGTGCTGGGATTACAGGCATGCGCCACCGCGCTGGGCCCAGTTGATTCCATTTTATCTAGGGACTAAATACCTGCACTTTTTTTTCTTGTTATTACCTTTAAATTATGACTATATAAACATATTTCTCTATTAAAGTAAAAAAGGAAGCATACCTATTAAAACCAGTTCTGTAGCTTGAACATTTCAGCATTTCAGAATGTGTTGCTTTCTCTGTCTCATCTTACCATTCAGTGTTTCCTAGCTTTCAGATATCTTTGATATTTATATTTTTATTAATTTTAACTATCTCAGTATTCTCTCATCAATTATTTTTGACATTCACTTTAAATTTAATGTTCCTACTAAGCCTAAGAGCAAAGTTTTCTGCTTTCCTTATACTGACATTTATTTTATGTCATCTCTTTCTCATTCTTATTTTCTACCTTGTACTCATTTCTGAGTCACCTGACATACTTCTGATAAATCAAAAATGACACTGTGGAGGCATATTTTTATAGTCCTTCTATATCTTTGTTGTATTTCTATTGACTTTACATATCACTGATAACTTTTCCAAATGGACTTCTCAATTTAAAATTTTCCTCAATCTCATCTTTCTAGAAATAATTGTGAGCATATCCCCTTCTGGTTCCCACATTTCATGGAATAAGGTCTAGTTTACTTGCTTTGTTCCTTTGTAGATAAACTTATTTTGTGTGTGTGTTCATGCTTATTGAATTTTAGGAACAGGGAAATGTTTACAAGCTTAATTTCTATAATAAGGCATGCATGAGTCTGAAGCTTGTCTCTGCCTCTTGTTAATTATCAATTATGCTAAGTTTCAGTTTTTTCTGAGGCAAAGGGAAGATCATAATTGGGCTATTCTATACAATTATTTGAAGAAAAAAATAACAGAAAGAAAAGAAGTAGAGGGAAAAAAGGAAGAGAAAGAGAGAGAGAGAGCACAAAGAACTTAGACTAGTGCTCAGCAAATAGTAAATACACAATGAAAATGACCTTTCACTAAATCTTGAAGTGGGGTTAGTTTCATTAATTGCATTTATAATTAGTGAGCTCATTCCATCAAGATAGTCCACGTTATCTTTAACTTAGTAATATTATTTTCTATTACATCTTCTCCTTGAATTTAGCACATGTGTGTACATACACACACACAATTATTTCAGGCTGGTCTTCTAACTCAATTTTTTTGTTTGTTTTTGTGTTTTTAGTATCTCACCTGCAGTTCACCCCTTCTTTTCTGTTTTGAATTTGGCAATTCAGTTTTTCATTAAAAAATAATCAAGATTCCTTTAATATATCTTCCCAAATAGAGCACCCACTTCTTCATTTTCTTACTCTTCTTTGTAGCAACAAAGCATCTTATAAATTTGTCTATTGCCTACTTAACACTCTTTGCAGTAGAACTCTGTTGCTTTGTTTATTGCTGCACTCTCAGTGTCTAGAATAGCTTCTGGTATCAATTGGTAATTCATTAAGTATTTGCTAACAAATGAAGAAAATCAGTAAATGAATGAAAACTCTTAACTATTAGAATCACAACCATTAACTAATTTTCTATTGCTTCTTGTTTGTTCCAGTGAAATTTGCTTTAACTCTTCTGTTTTATCCATCTCTTTTAGGTTTCCTATAGCTTCAGTTTGGCAATTTGTTACTACATTAGCCTTTGGCATAAGAAAAGTAACTTCATTGATCTGCACATAATTTTTTTGCTTGTTTCAAAGGAACCTTGGTGATAGCTAAGGAACTTTCCTGCTTCCTTCATTGACATTTTTGTCCTTATCAGGAAACCACTGTGAAAGTGCTGTTGCTTTACGTGGTACCCAGGTTGCTAGGGATCAATATTTTATATTCTCAATATATTACTTCCAGGTATGCTTTCCACAGTCACATATCTAGTTCTTATACAGTCAAGATATGCAATTGCATAATGCCCAATAGCTTGATCTAAACGATAGTTTGTAGCACACAAAACCAGATGAGCTTGAAATAACTTGTTTTTTCTCTAGTCCCCATGTGTTTTCATTATAATGAATTACAGCTCAGTATTTCTTTCTCAAATATAGATTCACTTGAGGATATCTTTCAAGAAAAAAATCAGAATTTTCTTTGATATATCAAAATTGTACATATTTTGAGGGCACATGTGATTTATCATAAATGTGTACAATGTGTAATAATTAAATCAGGGTCATTGGGTACCCATCACCTCACACATTTACCTTTAGAGTTGAGAACGTTACAATTCTTCTTTTCTAGCTCCTTTGAACTATGCTGTAAATTATTGTTACCTATATTTTCCCTATTGTACTGTCAAACACTAGACGTTATTTCTTCTATCTGTATATTTGTATCCATTAACCAACTTCTCTTCATCTCCCCCTCACTCTTTCGCTTCCCCCATCATTCTTCTTTCTACCTTAAGGTCTTCTTTTTTTGCTTCCACATGTAAGTGACTACATGCAATATTTGTCTTTCTTTGCCTGGCTTATTTCACTTAACATAATGACTTCCAGTTTCATCCATATTGCTGCAAATGACAGAATATCATTCTATTATATGGCTGAATAATATTCCAATAGGTATATATACCACATTATCTTTATCAGTTCATCTTCTGATGGACACTTAGGTTGATTTCATATCTTTGCTATTGCAAATAGTACTTCAAGAAACTGAAGCTTCAATATATTGATTTCTTTTCTTTTGGATATATACCCAGCAGTGGGATTGCTGATTACATGCTAGTTCTGTTTTTAGTGTCTTGAGGAATCTCCATACTGTTTTCCATAATGGCTGTACTAATTTACATTTCCATCAGCAGAGCTGAGTTTTATTTTCTCCACATCCTAGTCAGCATCTGTTACTTTTTGTCTTTTTAATAACAGCCATTCTAACCTGGGTGTGTCGATATCTCATTGCGGTTTTGATTTATATTTCGCTGATGATTAGTGATGCTGATCTTTTTCATATGCCTGTTGGACATTTGTATGTCTTCTTTTGAGAAATGTCTATTCAGGTCTTTTGCTCATTTTTAATAGGGTTATTTGGCTTTTTGCTACAAAGTTAAGTTCCTTATATAATCTGCTTAATACTTGTCAGATGAATAGTTTACAAATATTTTCTACCATTCTGTAGGTTGTCTCTTCACTTTGTCAATTGTTTCTTTGCTGTGCAGAAACTTTTTAATTTGATGTAATCTCATTTGTCTATTTTTACTTTTCTTGTCTGTGCTTTTGAGGTCTTAGCACAAAACATCTTTGCCTGGGTCAATGTCCTATAAGGTTTCCCCAGTGTTTCTTCTAATGATTTCATAATTTCAAATCTTGCTTTTAAGGCTTTAATCCATTTTGTGTCAATTTTTGCATGTGATAGAAGATGACGTTCTAGTTTTATTCTTCTGCATATGGATATCCAGTTTTCTCAGCACCATTTATTAAAGAGACTGTCCTTTCCCTGCTGTATGTTCTTGGTACTTTCGTTGAATTGAATTGTCTGTAAAGTGCTTGGCTTTATTTCTGCATTCTCTGTCCTGTTATATGTGTCTATGTGTCTGTTTTTACACCAGTACCAGTTTGGTTTTGGTTACTATTGCTTTGTATTACAATTTGACATCAGTAGTGTGCTGCCTCCAGTTTTGTTTTTTGTTTTGTTGTTGTTGTTGTTGTTGTTGTTCAGGACTGCATTAGCTATTCAGGATCTTTTGTGGTCCCATACAAATGTTAGTATTTTTCTTTAATTTCTGTGAAGAATGTCATTGGTATTTTGCATTGAATCTGTAGATTGCTTGCCCAGTATAGATATTTTAACAATAGAATGTTTCATTTCACTGGCTTACAAAAGTTATTCTTCCCTGTTTCAAGTACCAACGCACATTTTCTTCTTTATGGGGGGTATTTCTTTCATGATTTCAATTGAAATGGGATGGGGATTAGTGATAGTAATTAAAATTAAATGTTTAGACCAAACTACTGATTATAAACAAGTAACTTATAACCAAAGTATTCTTAATGGCTTGTATTGATTAATATAGCTAATCTAATAATTCAAGCATATTCATCTTACACATTTTGTTAAAATTTTAATATATCCACAAGACATATTTTACTATAGAAATCACATCCATTTCAAAGTTTTTACTACCCAATACGTTGATCACATGTGGCCATCATTAAGTTGGTTATGTAAGGCAGCAGCTCTCCACTACTAATGGAAATAAAAGAAAGATGTTTTATTTTTTGCGTTCATGCTTCTTGAATTTTAGGAACAGGGAAATGTTTTCAAGGTTAGTTTCTGTAATAAGACATGCATGAGTTTGAAGTTTGTCTCTGCCTCTTGTTAATTATCAATTAGACTTAGCTTCAGTTTTCTCTGAGGCAACAAGAAGATCATAATTGAGCTATTCTATAGAATTTTATATATATATTTTTTGTTTGTTTGTTTGTTTTTGAGACGGAGTCTCACTTTGTCACCCAGGCTGGAGTGCAGTGGCACAATCTCGGCTCACTGCAACCTCCGCCTCCCGGTTCACGCCATTCTTCTGCCTCAGATTCCCGAGTAGCTGGGACTAAAGGCACCTGCCACCACGCCAGGCTAATTTTTTGTATTTTTAGTAGAGACGGGGTTTCACTGTGTTAACCAGGATGGTCTCGATCTCCTGACCTCGTGATCCACCCACCTCGGCCTCCCAAAGTGCTGGGATTACAGGCGTGAGCCACTGCGCCCGGCGTCGATAGAATTATTAAAAAAAAAAAAAAAAAAAAAAGGAAAGAAAAGAAATAGAGGAATAGAGGGAGAATATAATAGTAATTGTGCTCTGTTTGCACTTATGAATGTTACCCATAATGTGTTCTGAGTGTTATCCATAATGTGTTTCTCATTCTTACTTATAGCTAAGAAGCTGTGGCACACATTCCCAGTGTGTCATCTTTCTGCACATGTAGAGATGAGAAGATTGGGGATCAGTTGATTGGACTGCTACAAAAGCAAAGTTTTTCTGGCATCTCATGATTTTACTCTTCCTTGCATGTCATGGTTTTATCTAAAATAATTTATCTAATTTTTGATTAAGAATGTACCGTCTCACTTTGGGAGGCCAAGGTGGGCAGATCACGAGGTCAGGAGATGGAGACCATCCTGGCTAACATGGTGAAACCCCATCTCTACTAAAAATTAGCTGGGTGTGGTGGCGCACGCCTGTAATCCCAGCTACTCAGGAGGCTGAGGCAGGAGAATCCCTTGAACCCGAGACCCGAGAGGCGAAGGTTGCAGTGAGCCGAGATCGAGCTACTGCACTCCAACCTAGGCAACAGAGCGAGACTCCCTCTCAAAAAAAAAAAAAAAAAAAGAATGGACCTTCTATTTTTATTGTTCAATGATGCTCTGAGAACCATTTCCCCAAGAAGAAAGAAAAACAAGTGAAGTATCATCTGACTCAGATATAAGCAAACGATCCTGAATTTTCACAAAACAAGTTCCTCATTCTCTATGGAAAATAAGGCAGGGACTGCAGGAAAGTAACCAAAAACAGAAGGGTTAATAACACAAGAGAGAAAGGACAGAACAAGAAAGAAGAGGAATATTTGAAATGAACAGAAGTTGTTTTATTCAGTGTTCTCTTTAGAAACTGAATGAATAGGATATATATATATCACAGATTGATAATCAGCGATTTACTATGAGGCATTAAATGGCTCACATGATTACAGAGACTGAGGAGTCTCATGATCTTGCACCTGTAAGCTGGAGGCTCAGGAAAGCCAGTGGTGTTTCAGTCCAAACCCAAAGGCCTGAGAACCAGGGAAGCCAACGGTGTAAGTCCTAGCCCAAACCTGAAAATCCAAGCACCAGGAGCACCAATGTTCAAGGACAGAAAAAAGATGGAAGTCTCAGTCTAACAGAAAGGAAGTTTGTTCTTCCTCACCCTTGTGTTCTATTCAGGTCCTCACTGGATTGGAAGAAGTGATGCCTGCCCAAATTGGTGAGGTAAATCTTCTTTATTCAGCCTAATGACCCCAGTTCTAATCTTTTCTGGATACAGTCTCACAAAACTTTCTCCAGAATATTTTACCAGCTATCTGGGCATCTCTTACCCCAGGCAAGTTGACATATGAAATTCACCATCACTGAAGTACTGCTCAACTTGATGATCGTTGATAGACTGAAAACAACTCTGAAAAGTAAGGTTTCTCAAATGAGAACTCTGACCAGCAGCACTGTCAAATAACCATGGAGGACTTGTCAGTGTACATGTCACCAACCCTCACCCTTTCAAACAAAAATATCTGAAGACTTATATACTTTGTGTATAATGGGACATGAGTTGAGAAACACCTCGTGGAACAGAAGAGAAATAAGAAAAACAACTGTTCATTTCCCTCTGAGTCGAACAGTGGGTACCCTGTACACTGCTACTGTAATGGACTTTTATTGTGTAAGCACTCCTTTCCTATCCCTTCTGTTTGAAAAGGAAAAACTGATGATAACTATTAGTTAACATTCTACATGCTCCATGAGGAGGCAGGTATAAATACCAGGTACAAGTACTAAAATACACTCAATATTACCACTTCAGCTTCATTGATTCAATTAAATGTATTAAATATTAATGTGTCAAGCAAGTTGTGTTGCCTTTTTGATTTTCAGATCTGATTCTATGCTGGGCCTTGCCTCCCACACTTGGTCTCTCTTCCTGTTCTTTGGCTGTAAGTGTACAAATTCTATAATCTGGAAGAAATCTCAAAATTGTCTTGTTCTTTGCTTATGCCCTGCTGGCGGGAATGTAAATTAGTTTGGCTATTTCAGAAAGCAATTTGGCAATTTACGAAAGAACTTAAAACAAAATTACCATTTGACCCATCAATCCCATTATTGGGTATATACCCAGAGGAAAATAAATCATTTTACCATAGAGACACATGCACACATATGTTCACTGCAGCATTATTCACAAAAGCAAAAACATGGAATCAACCTACATGCCCATCAGCAGCAGACTGGATAAAGAAAATGTGGTATATATAAACCATGGAATACCATGCAGCCATAAAAAATAATAAGATCATGTCCTTTATAGCAACATGGATAAATCTGGAGGCCATTATCCTAAGCAAACTAACACAGGAACAGAAAAGCAAACACCACATGTTCTCACTTATAAGTGGGAGCTAAACATCGAGTACATATAGACAAAAAAAAAGGGGGAGGAACACCAGACACTGGGGCCTACTTGAGGGCTGAGACTGGGAAGAAGGTGAGGATCCTGTACAAGTACTAAAACTTACCTATTGGGTGCTATGCTTATTACTTAGGTGATGAAATAATTTGTACATCAAATCCACACGACATGCAGGTTACCTATATAACAAACCTGCACATGTACCCCTGAACTTAAAATAAAAGTTTAGAAAAAATTCTTGTTCTGGCATAGTCAGAATATCCCTATTTTTCTTCTTATATGAATCATAGCTAAAACAGAAGATTTCTTTATGATCTTAGATCCAGTGCAGCAATTATGCTTTTAACTATTAAAGAACAGAAACTTAATACCTAGAAGTCAGGTGTACGCTCTGACTTCCTCTAAGATTTCAGTGATATAGAGTGTTGTCAGTGAATTTTAGATAAATATTCTGCTTTGGACAATATTGGAAACCAGACAATATAGAAAATGTTGATAGTTAAAAAGAATCTGCACATACGAGGAAAGCATAACATACATAGTATAATCTGCATAGTAGCTCTTTTAAGTCAGAAACAGAGTTCATTGTTCATGAGGCCAGAGTATTTTATATAGGAACAATCTTCCCAAAGATAATAAAATAATAAAATAAAAGTTTGGACAAAATATAAAAATTATTTGAAGCACTGTAAAATTATGAAAACTAAATAGAAAACCATGTAAGGGGGTTGTCTTAAAAAGAAGGGAATGTGTTTTCTATTGTTATATAACAAATTCCCAAAAACGTAGCAGCTAAAAACAATATCCATTTATCATCTCACATTTCTGGAGGTCAGAGTTCTGGGCAAAACATGACTGGTTCTCTGTTCAGGTTTTCCCAGGACTGATGTCAAGGCATCAGCCAGCTATGTTCTCTCCTGGAGGTCAGTGCCCTCCTTCAGGCCTATGGTGATACCATTCCATTTCTTGCTAGTTGTCATCTGAAAATTGCTTTGAGCTTTAAATGCTGCCTTATGTCCCTTCCACATAAATCGCTCCATTTTGAAGACAAACAATTGAGAACTTTTTGTACATAAAATCCTACCTATGCTTCAAATCTCTTTCTCTAGGAAAAGCTCTAGTCTTTTTTAAAGGCTCATCTGATTAGGTCAGGTCCTCCAACATTAATAATCCTTTCTTAAGGTTAGCAATACCATATGCCATAACCTAAGCACAGAAGTGATATCCCATGATATTCTCAGTCCCAGGAATAATGCAGGGCATATACACCATGGGGCAAGAATCTTGGGAGCCATCTCAAAAGTCTGCCTACCACAGAACCACTCTGGGTAAATGATCATTTATACAACTCTATTTTTTTTTTCCCATGAAAGTAATGTGTAGAACCCAAGAATGTTGGGTAGTTATATCTCAAGTAGAAAACCAAACATTTTATTAGCTTGAAGTATAAAAGAACAGATTTCAGAACTCTTCGAACAGCTAGAACTTGAGAAGGCAATTTTCAGAAAAAAAAAAAAATGAGCCACAAAAAGGAACAAAATATCTACACATCAACTCCTGTGAAATTTTTAGTTGACCCTTTATTTTGTCTGTTGATATGGTGAACAGCACTGATTGATTTTTAAATGTTGAATCATCCTTGTGTTCCTGCGATAGACTTTACTTGATCATAATGTATTATCAAGTTCATATATTTCTGAATTTGATTTAATAATATTGTGTTGAGGAGTTTTATGTGTATGTTCATGAGGGACACTGATCTATAGTTTTCTTGAAAAATCATATCTCATTTGCTATTATGGTTATATTAACCTCATAAAATGAGTTAGGAATTGCTTCCTCTTCATCCATTGTCTAGAAAAGATTATGAATAATTGGTGCCATTTCTTTCTTAAATGCTTGACAAAATGTGCTAGTGAAGTCATATTAATCTTCAGTTTTCTTTTATAAAAAAAGATTTTTGGCTGGGCACAGTGGCTCACACCTGTAATCCCAGCACTTTGGGAGCCTGCAGTGGGTGGATCACAAGGTCAGGAGTTCAAGACCAGCCTGGCCAACATGGTGAAGCCCCGTCTCTACTAAAAATACAAAAATTAGCCAGGCGTGGTGGCAGGCACCTGTAACCCAGCTGTTTGGGAGGCTGAGGCAGAGAATTGCTTGAACCTGGGAGGCGGAGGTTGCAGTGAGCCAAGATTGCACCACTGCACTCCAGCCTGGGCAACAGAGTGAGACTTTGTCTCAAAAAAAAAAAAAAAAAAGATTTTTAACTACAAGTTCATTCTGAATGCCTCACATATTTAATCAGTTCTCTCAATTCTGGCTAGTTGAAAATCAAATAACTTCCAGCACTGAGCCACCTGTTGTAATTGTTTAGTTTACAATTCCTCGGTTCTTGTTTCTTCCCCAGTCTGATAGAGTCCCACACACTCAGCTTAGAATTCAGTCAACTACTCAAGGAGATCCAGACTGAAATTTCTGGGGCTCATTATTTGTGTAACATCCTATTCTCTGATACTCTGCTTCATTAATTTCATACACCTCAGGCTCTTCAAATTCTCAACTTTGTCTCTTGAGCTCAGCAAGGCCTCCATACTCTACTTGGGATCACTTTGCTAAGGTTGGGCTTCAGAAGTTGCTTCCAGGTAAAAACCATGAGCCACTTTCAGGCATCGTATTTCTTAGTTGCTTGTTGCTCAATGTCTGAAAATAGCTGTTTCATGTAGTTTGTCCAGAGATTTAGCTGTTTACGTAAAGAGCTTTAATACAGTACCAATTGCTATCTGATGGCCAGAAGAGAAAGTCTCTTACTGATTTATAGTATTTTCAAATAGCCTGACTATTAATATAACATTTGATAATTTTAGTTATAGCATTAAATTTAAATTAATATCAAGTGGTAGTCCCACACACTTGAACTGAGCTGCCCCTCCTTTGGGCTAAACATTGAACTTTCCATATTCACAGCAAGGTCAATACCCTCTTGATCGAAACCCTCATTTGGCATAATCCAGAAAAAAATTCCTAAAACTGGAACCTAAGACCATTCTTTTTCAGCCCTTATGTGCATCTTCTATTGTCCAAGACTATACACTACCATGGTCAACAGGCAGCATTTGGAGGGAAACACTCATCGCATACCCTCCGCATCTGATAAAGCTCCCAGCTTCCATTAGTCCCTGCTCTGCCAACATTAGCACCAGTGTTATTACTATCTGCTTTGAAATTTGCAGGATTAATCCATTCATACCCTGCTTTTCTGTTTATAAATTACCCCCATGAAATCCCAAACTCCCTTGTCAGTCAGTCCTCTTTCCCTATATTCTATTCCTCATGTGATTCTGTAGACTGTCTTTTCTGATTCATCTCTTACTCTTTGACAACTACTGAAACCTGTCTTTCATATTCTCTGGAACTCGCAGTTTATCATTGACAAAACCATCCATATTCTTACCTTATTTCTCTATGATTCATTTAGCTTTTTATGTTACCTGAGAGCTAGGTATTTCTTGAAGATACTGTTTCCACTATAGCCCTGCTAAGTATTGAATCTTTTTATTTCCATACCACATTTTCTCACTATTTTTTAAGGTAGGAATGTGTATTACTACTCCTTAGCCTCATTTTTAGATCACTTTATCGCCTTTCTTTCTAAAAACTTTCATAGCTTTGAATTTCATGTCACAGGATTAAGATAACCAAATACTTCTAATTTTAGTCATTGTTAGAATTTAAGGCCATTCTCCTCCTCATTTCTTAAATATATTAACTCCTAAATTACTGTCACTGTCTCCTACATGACACCAGTTCTATTTCTCAGAGATATCAATAAATGTCTAGATGATCTGTCCAATACTCTGGCCTATTGATCCTTGAACTTCTCTCCTCCAGTGATTTCATTCTCCACCTAATTTCAGCCCTTACTTTCATGAGCATTCATAGAAGGTATCATTTCCAATATCTTCAATGATTTCACAACCTCAATTTCCAACATTAAATTCTGTGAGCACCACCTCCTTTCTATCTCAGTAGAAACAGTCAACTCTACTGAAACCTGCAATATATTGATATCACCAATTTTAATTCCCCCTCATCCCCTTATTTCCTCCACCTTACACAATTAAATTCAGTAGTTAAATATTTCAAGCTTTTTGCAAATACAGTAGTACCCACCTCACCGCCCCCCCCCCACCCCCCGCCCCATATTCACAGAGGATACTTGTTGAAGTCTTTGAATAGGCTCAATGCTTTCTGATGCAACACGATGCCGTCAATTGGAACACATTTCTGTTCATGCCTTCCACCTGCTAATTTAATGTCTTTACCATCTTAATTAAGCACTTACTACACACTGTGACCGTAATGTTTGCAGTTTAGGGTGCACCAGCAAAACTAACACAGATTTATTTTTCCTTCTTCACAATTTAATGAATGCATTTGTTCTAACTGTAGAGCTTAGCAATCTCAACCCATGACTTTTTTTTAGTAAGTCAAGAACTTTCACAATTTCACTTAAAGAAAGCACTTCACTCAGCTTCTCTTTGGCATATCCAATATCACAAGAGTTGATCTCACCAAGACAGCTACTAAGTGACAAAGTGAGTAGCATAGACGGTGTGGATCTGCTAGACAAAGGGAGGATTCACGTCCTGCATAAGACAGAAAAGGATGGTGTGAGATTTTGTTACATTTCTCATAATGGTGCACAATTTAAACTTTACGAATTGTTTATTTATTAAATTTTCCATTCAAAATTTTTAGAACACTGTTGTGGGTAAATGGAACTGGAAAGTTAAACCGGACATAAGGGGGAACTACTCTATCCTCAATTCTCTCACCCTTCCTTTTCTTCATATAACTATGCTGATAAAACCACTTCTTTGGTTAAATCCAAATCACCACACCATTGTAGCCAAATATAGCTGGGGAAAAGCCAAAATCATATTGACTAGCCTTGCTTTTGGTTCATGATCATGGCCTTTATTGATATTTACTGTAGGAATGTCAGGACCACCAAAGGTAAATTGGCTCTGTCCTGGGCAAATTGGGATGTATGGTCACGAAAATGTTTGATGATTTGTCCATGCTATTGCCTGGGTCAACTGGGCCTCTTTTGTGTAATTAACCTCACTTACTCAAGGTCTTCACTGAAATAATCCCTATTCCATTCCTGGTAATTTTCTTTCTACAGAGGACTGTTATTTCCAAGGACCTTACATTAGTAAATCTGATGACCAGTTATCACTGTTCTTATAGCTGTACTTCTCAGCAGCATTTGACACATTTGGCCATTCTCCTTTTTGAAACACTTTTTTTCACGTGACAACCTGAACACTGCACACTTATGGATGTCTCCCTGCTTCACTAGCTACCTTTTTTTCAGAATCATTTGCTGGTTTCTCTTGCCAGACTTCTCCAGTTTCAGAGAAGTCTGCCCTGTGGTCCTCTTACTTTCTGTACCAACATGCCAACATTTCACGACTTCATTCTGGTTCTTGGTGTTAAGCATGATCTAAATGTTGACAATTTCACATTGGTGTCTCCAGATAAGCTCTGTCTCCTCAAAACCAAAACTATTCATATCTACTTGGATTCAAAAGGGCATCAAAATTTAACATTAATATTTTCAAATCTGAACTCTTGATCTTCTCCTCAAAACTGTTACTAGCTCAATCAGTTCCTGTCTTTGTTAATAGAAATCTTTTATTTTTCACACCAAAAACTTAGTGTTTAACTTTCCTTTTCCCTTTCATTCTATTTTAAAATCCATCACAAAGTCATATTCATTCTAACTTCAAAATATATCAAGAGTGCGACCACATATTCCCACTCCCACTGTTACTATCCTCTCCTAACTCAGCATCATTTCTAGTCCAGACATACCAATAGGTCATCCTGCTGCCTTCCTTCTTCAAAATATGGTTTATTCAACATGGCATCTTCACAATTTTTTAAACCTAAAATATTGTCAATAGCCTGCTCAATATCTTTTGAAGGATTCCTTTTTGACTCAGAGCAAAAGTTAAAATCCTTAGGATGCCCAACCAGTTCCTTCAGTGGCCTTGATGCCACCTGCCATTACCTCTCTGACATCATTAATACTCCCCAGATCTTCTACTTCAGTTACAATTGCTGTTTCCCAAACATATTCAGAATTTTTCTCCCTCAGAGTGCTTGCACTTGCTCTTCCTTTTACAAGGAATCATTTTCTTCCAGATATCCACAGACTTTATTTTTAAAATCACCTTCACATCTTTGCTTACATTTCACTTTTTCAGGAGATACATTTATTGTATTTACATCCATTAAAAATGTAGTTTCCTTAATAGAAATTTTTTTGAATTTTTCTCTTTCCAGTACCTAGTGAGTTATTAATAAATATTCATTGAAAAAATAAATGAGTTAACTAATTCAACATTTTTCTGCCTCACAGAAGACCCTGATAGCTTCATTATCTTACCATATAAAACAACATTTGATCTTATAGTAGTCAACAACATAGTCTAAATTTAGCCCAAAATAACTGAAACAAACATGTAGTTCAAAGTCCAAACAAAAATATGTTTTATTAGCTATATGGGCTCTTTTTTGGTTCCATATGAAATTTAAAGTAGTTTTTTTCTAATTCTGTGAAGAAAGTCAATGGTAGCTTGATAGGAATAGCTTTGAATCTATAGATTACTTTAGGTAGTATGGCCATTTTCATGATATTGATTCTTTCCATCCATGAGCATGCAATGTTTTTCCATTTGTTTGTGTCCTCCTGTTTCCTTGAGCAGTGGTTTGTAGTTCTCCTTGAAGAGGTCCTTCACATCCCTTGTAAGTTGTATTCCTAGGTATTTCATTCTGTTTGTAGCAATTGTTAATGGGAGTTTACTCATGATTTGGCTCTATTATCGGTGTATAGGAATGCTTTTGATTTTTGCACACTGATTTTGTATTCTGAGACTTTGATGAAGTTGCTTATCAGCTTAAGGAGTTTGGGGGCTGAGATGATGGGGCTTTCTAAATATACAATTTTCATCTGCAAACAGAGACAGTTTGACTTCCTCTCTTCCTATTTGAATACCCTTTATTTCTTTCTCTTGCATAATTTCCCTGACCAGAACTTCCAATACTATGTTGAATAGGAGTGGTGAGAGAGGGTGTCCTTGTCTTCTGCTGGTTTTCAATGGGAATGCTTCCAGCTTTCACCCATTCAGTATGATTTTGGCTGTGGTTTGCCATAAATCACTTTTATTATATTGAGATAACGTTCCATAAATAACTAGTTTATTGAGTGTTTTTAGCTTGAATTATATCGAAGGCCTTTTCTGCATCTATTGAGGTAATCATGTGTTTCTTGTCATTGGTTCTGTTTAAGTGATGGATTACATTTGCAATCCTAAGCAAAAAGAACAAAGCTGGAGGCATCATGCTACCTGACTTCAAACTACACTACAAGGCTACAGTAACCAAAACAGCATGGTACTGGTACCAAAACAGATATATAGACCAATGGAACAGAACAGAGGCTTCAGAAGTAGCACCACACATCTACAACCATCTTTTGACAAACCTGACAAAAATAAGCAATGGGGAAAGGGTTCCCTGTTTAATAAATGGTGTTGGGAAAACTGGCCAGCCATATGCAGAAAACTGAAACTGGCCCCCTACCTTAAACGTCATACAAAAATCAACTCAAGAAAGATTAAAGATTTAAACATTAGACCTACAACCATAAAAACCCTAGAAAAAATGCCTAGGCAATAACATTCATGGCATTGGGCAAAGACTTCATGACTAAAACACCAAAAGCATGGCAACAAAAGCCAAAATTGATAAATGGGATCTAATTAAACTAAAGAGCTTCTGCACAGCTAAAGAAACTATCATCAGAGTGAACAGGCAATCTACAAAATGGAGGAAAAATTTTGCAATCTATCCATCTGACAAAGGGCTAATATCCAGAATCTACAAGTAATTTAAACAAATTTACAAGAAAAAACCAACAACCCCACCAAAAAGTGGGTGAAGGATATGAACAGACACTTCTCAAAGGAAGACATTTATGTAGATAACAAACATGAAAAAAAAGCTCATCATCACTGGTCATTAGAGAAATGCAAATCAAAACCACAAGGAGATACCATCTCATGCCAGTTAGAATGGCAATCATTAAAAAGTCAGGAAACAACATATACTGGAGAGGATGTGGAGAAATAGGAAAGCTTTTACACTGTTGGCAGGAGTGTAAATTAGTTCAACCATTGTGGAAGACACTGGCGATTCCTCAAGGCTTTAGAACTGGAAACACCATTTGATCCAGCAATCCTATTACTGGGTAGATACCCAAAGGATTATAAATCATTCTACTATAAAGACACATGCACATGTATGTTTACTGCAACACTATTCACAATAGCAAAAACCTGGAATCAACCCAAATGCTCATCAATGATAGACTACATAAAGAAAATGTGGCAAATATACACCATGGAATACTATGCAGCCATAAAAAAGATGAGCTCATGTCCTTTGCAGGGACATGGATGAAGCTGGAAACCATCATTCTCAGCAAACTAACACAGAAACAGAAAACCAAATACCGCAGGTTCTCACTCATAAGTGGGAGTTGAACAATTAGAACATAAGGACACAGGGAGGGGTACATTGCACATGGGGGCCTGCCAG
This sequence comes from Homo sapiens, assembly GCF_000001405.40. Classification (NCBI taxonomy): domain Eukaryota; kingdom Metazoa; phylum Chordata; class Mammalia; order Primates; family Hominidae; genus Homo; species Homo sapiens. The sequence continues at coordinate 31,411,731 of NC_000009.12, forward strand.
GTGGTGGGGTGCAAAGGGAGGGATAGCATTAGGAGAAATATCTAATGTAGATGACGGGTTGATGCCATGGCAAACCGCCATGGCACATGTATACCTATGTAACAAACCTGCATGTTCTGCACATGTATCCCAGGACTTAAAGTATAATTAAAAAAAAAAAAGAAGAACATAATGCAAAAAAGAAACATATGGGCTTTGTATATGAGACCATGATCCTAATGAATCTCAGAAAATAGTAACTTTTTAAATTAATAAATATTTTTCTCCCTCAAAAATATGTTTTATTTTTGGAGGGATTAGAACAAAGAAATCCTTAATGGAGGTGACAGTTTATCATTTCAGACAGCTCCTACTTGTTTTCTCCTACTGTCACACAGATACAAAATCAAGGGCCAAATTTCAAATATAAGGTCTATACCCAATGCAAATCAGATCTGAAGATTTTGTTTATTCCATTTTAAGTTCTGAACCAAAATTTAATGAATAAAACATTTACTTATATTTCATGAAATGCCAGATTAGGCAACCACAATGGCAGGCATTCTTATTGTTAATTGCACAAGAATCCTTTCTTTGGTTATTCAAAATGCAGATTCTCTGACACCACCTCTAGAGAATTTACTCAGTTTTAAGCAGGGACCAGTAATTTGCATTTCTAACAATCAACTCAGTTACTTATGATCAGCCAAGTAGTATAACATATTGAGAAAGTCTGACATAAGGGTTTGAAAACAGAACCCACTATCAATATATAGTGATTATTTACTGAGTATGCCTGTTATTTTTCTAAAGAATTCATGGTTATAGCACACAGCAAGTTAAAGACAAATAAATTGTTATCTCATCCTTGTATTTTTTATTAAGGACATGTTTAAAAATAACATGATACATAATTACCAGGGAAAATGTAAACTGTGTTAATTATCAACTATTTATTTAATTATTGATGATAATTAGAAATTAAAATCAACCCACCTTTCTAAAGTTGATATTTCTATATAGCAACTCCACTCAAAAGTACATCACTTACTTTAAAGCACAACAAGCCATATCCCATCCAGTCATCCATAGGGGTAACATTACACTCAATTAGAAAGCAGCATATTATTAATAATCAAAAAGATTGTTTTGGAATAGTAAACTATTGAGAATCAATATGGAATATCAAAAGGAATAAGGAACTTCAATTAATAGTGTTCGTTCTGACACTGACAAGACATTTTCTCTGTAAAATCAATAAGCTTCACTAAATATTTTCTAAGATTCTCTCCTTATTCAAGGATTTATCTCGAAAATAATGTGTTTACAAATCAAGGAAAGAAATTCTTGAAAAATTTTATCAAAATTTTAAAATAAACACTGGTACATAGAAGAAATAGTTTTAGAAATCTGGAGGATTAATTTCTCAGGAAGTTTCATTTCATTCCTTATAATTCTGAGTACAGAAGATCTCATGATATATTTATACAAACAAATTAATAGTATAAGTTCATATTCTTCATAATCATAGACATTTTCCAGAGAAATAAAATGTATTCGTAAAACGTATCATGACCTCTCTGATATTGTCAGCAACCTAGCATTGATTCTCAGAGACCACAAACAGTTTGAATCCAAATGTTTAAATTTTTTTCACTTCAGAACCAAATCAGTCTCAGTTTATTTTAGAAGGCCTAATCTGTGTACTTGACCTTTAGATAAGAACTTGTAAAAATCTGTTCAATTGATTGCATTAAAAAATAAAACAGAGGAAAATCAACAACCCTAACTGCATCAAACCTGGTTTGCCATATAGTTTATACTAATATGATTCCTACATGTATATAGAACATTAAGTTTAAGAAAATCTCTATATGAGCCTCCTTAAAATAATATACTGCATTTTTATCGTTCACTTCTAAATTCCTAGTGACTATACTAGACAATTATTAATGGTGATTATGCATTAATGAATTACTATCCAATAACCACCAATGACCATTATTTTGCCTTTTTTGAAACAATTTTTGGCAGAAATGTCAGAATTTGTAGATGTATTGAAGCTTTCCTTCTCTCAGGAGTCTCTGACATATCAGTTGGCAAGGTGATCTGGAAATATTTGGAACTTGATATCTAAAAACTATAAAAACTATAAGACGTCAAATACATGCTCCCAAAGTATAATATTTGTAACAATTTGTAAAAGTAGTGCTGAGTTGGCTGGGTGCAGTGTCTCATGCCTGTGATCCCAGCACTTTGGGAGGCTGAGGTGGGCAGATCACGAGGTCAAGAGATCGAGACCATCCTGGTCAACATGGTGAAACCCCATCTCTACTAAAAATACAAAAATCAGCTTGGCGTGGTGGCACGCACCTGTAGTCCCAGCTACTCGGGAGGCTGAGGCAGGAGACTTGCTTGAACCTGGGAGGTGGAGGTTCCAGTGAGCCAAGATTGCGCCACTGCACTCCAGTCTGGCAACAGAGTTAGACTCTGTAAAAAATAAAAATAAAAATAAATAAAAGTTAAAAAGGCAGTGCTGAGTTAATCGATGTGGCCCTAATTGTTTCATGATTTCCTTTAGAGTTTTCTAAAGCAATTTGGAAACTATGGTGAATTTAAAGAACTCATCTTTCCATGAGTTCTCTGAACCTTTGCTATCCATTCCAGATGCCAAAAGCTGTTCCTGGGGTCCTGACAGCAATGTGCTTCATTATCCATGAGGCTTCCTCATTTCTGGTGCAACTGGATAATCATTCAGTAATTAAACAGATATTGATCATATTGTAATTGAGATGCCCGTAACATAAGTAAGGGTTAACTCTGATACTTACAATCAAGGAAGCATGATTAGATTTTTATCATAAATTATATAATACAATACTATGTCTCAAAAGATTGCTTCGAATGAATTCATTGCTAGTTTAGAGAAAGGAATTACACATTTCTTTTGGAATATTTGCCTAACGCATAGCAAGAATTTGACTTAGGTCTTAAAACATGAGTACATTTTGAACTCTTCAGAACTGGGTGGGAAGCAGGCCAAAAAGAATAGAGATCAAAGTAGAAAGATAAGAGAATGTAGAGCAGTTATGTATAGAAGAATAGAAAAAAATAAGGAAAATCATGAAAATGCAGTGCAATTTAAGTTTAATAGTTTGAAAGAGATTGAAAAGTCATATCAGGGCAATATCAGAGAAGTTCCTTGAATGGCAGAGTAAGAAGAAACTTAGAAACAGAGTAAGAAGAAACTTGTGCAATTAGTGACCTGAGATTTAACAATTTGTGGCTAAATTCAAGGGGCCTGTTTATCCCATATGTCCCTATTTTTTTGCTTCTTGTCATTATGAATAATCAAACCAAGATATGTCAGTTTGTCATGATTACAACTGCGGCAAACGATTTGGCCTATTTACTTGGCTGTCATGTCAAAACTTAGACACACTGATTTGCTTTATAAACATCCACTGAAAAATGGAAAAGGTGAAAAATACAGAATTGATAGTTTTCAGTTTCTCATCCTTCTTGTAGCTCAAGAGCAGCTTGTTCTTTTTTTTTTTTTTTTTTTTGAAACATTTGCTTCATGCTGTGAACTGACAGCCAGTCTTCAAAGTGCAATTCTTCTTAGATGAGGACAGTTCAAGATATTTCTCCTTTTGGCAAGGAATCAATAGTGCATTAAATTCTAGAATGTGCTTTCTGTTAGGAAACCATTACATTTTATTGTACTAATTTGGTTTTATGGCAATATCTAAAATTTGCAGGGATGTGCAGATGACTTCTGTCTTAAATTAGGCAAAATTAAGAGATCTAATCTAGCTTTAGAAATGGATAATCCTGTTCTTAGTTTTCCCTAGCCCTGAAAATTCTGGAAATTCCAGAGATCATTAATAAGCTACCTCAGGATTTGTGTGTGTGTGTGTGTGTGTGTGTGTGTGTCTGTGTGTGTGCGTACCTTAATCTAGGAAGAAAAAAGTTACTAATAAAATAAAATAGAAAAAAAATTGAGATATCTATTTGTGTATTTTACTTGCTGAATGAGGAGGTATGGAAGGACAGGCAGGCCTTTAGTATCCAAGTCTCTTGTTACGGTGACAGAGAAAGGAGGTTTTCTTAACAGAAACTTTGTATTTTAGGTGCTGTCTTGAAAAGAAACCTTACTCAGACTATTTAGGTAAGAGAGAGACATTGAGAAAAGAAGGGCATAGGCCAGGCACGGTGGCTCACGCCTGTAATCCCAGCACTTTGGGAGGCTGAGGCAGGTGGATCACTTGAGGTCAGGAGTTCAAGACCAGCCTGGCCAACATGGAAAAACCCCGTCTCTACTAAAAATACAAACATTAGCCGGGTGTGGTGGTGGGCACCTGTAATCCCAGCTACTCAAGAGGCTGAGGCAAAAGAATCACTTGAACCCGGGAGGCAGAGATTGCAGTGAGCCGAGATTGTGCCATTGCACTACAGCCTGGGGGTGAAGAAGCGAGACTCCGTCTCAAAAAAAAAAAAAAGGGTGGGGGGCATAGACAGCGGCTCTTTGAGGTCAAAGCTATAGTAAACCAAAACTAGAAAAAGGAAATATTCATAGAAGTGAAACAGACTTTCAGAGAATTGGAGAAGACAGTAATTGCATGTTTAACTTACTGTAAGTGGGAAAGATAAACGTGAAGTGCTGCTGCGGTACCCACTGTAGACACTTGGGCGATGGTGTGAATGAGGATTTATAGGGGGATTATGAGCCAATGTCTGATTGGCGAGGTTAAATATTTGGGTATATCACACTTGCCACTGTCCTTCCCTTTCATTCTCTTTCATATGAGCATGGTGAAGAAGGGATGTTATAGTCTGTACGCAGAATAATAGGGTACAATACTATAGATAAAATAAATTAGATCAACAGTTGTTTAAAATGAAATGAAAATGTACTAAAACTCTAGATTGACTACATATCTCATGTCCACATAGGGGACTCTCATATTTTTTTACCCCTTTTCAATTTTCATGTTAGTTAAGATACTTCTCACCTAATGTTTATTTTATTGTTTTTAGTTCTTTTGTTTTCTGTTGTGAAAATGCATGCATGTAGATCAATAATTTGTTAGTTTCTGGGCAATATATTGATCTTTTTATTTGATATTTTTGTTGTCTTTGTTTGTCTTCCAATATTCACTCATGTACTTGCATAACATTTTCTGGAGTAAATGAATACGCTCTAACAAGGGTTTAATTTGATCTATTCTAAATAATAGTTTGGGCAGTTTATCTGCTTGAACTCAAAGTGAACCTAAACCTTTAAAGCTGTTGTTGAGAACATATTGCTGATGAAAGTAGAAATATGCACCTCTTGCTACTTATTAAAAACAAGAACATTTTTAAAAATCATAACTAGAAATTCATGATCATAAAGCTCATTAAAATCCCTATGTATAGAGTCAACATGACTATTAATGGTATGATATCCTAAAAGTTCAAGTAATTTAAAAAAGACCACAGTGCTTCACAGATAGAGTAACTTAGAAAAAAAAGGATCTTTTAAAATTAGAAGTAAGTTCATTACAAAACTTTTACACAGGGTAATTTCTGTAATTAAATCCTATTGTTTCTAATTTTTTTTAATGGATCCACATACAAAGAGGAAAAGAACTGTAACTTAAAAACGTATAGTTCTGGTAATGGTGGAATAGCTATCATTAGGCTAATAGCCCTTCATACGGCAATTAGGTACTTGTAAGGGAAGTTTCTTTGAAGCCACCAGACAGTAAACAAAAGCAGATAGAAATTGGAGGAAATTTGAATCAGGGAAAAGGAACCACACTTCAAAAAGACATATTTACATACATTTTTCCACTGAGGGAAACCATAATGTCTATAGGGTATGTTAGCCACAGAATTCAAGTAAATGGCTGCAGTCACATTGGTCTCTTACATCAGAGGATATTGAGACTGTCTGAAAATTGGAACTGGATAAATCAGGATGAGAACAAAGCCATAGCGCATAGCTAGCTTAAACTATCATCATATCACTAGAGTAGTGAACACTTGAAATCATAACACTTAATATTAAAGTAGAATCTTACCATCACAGGTAATTTGTTGCAAATTCCATTAAAAATGGAAGTATTAAAATTAACAGCTGAAGTGACACATGACATTCTGTGGACATAGCTACTGTGCACTAATAAAAGCCACATTAGTGTAAAATTCAGAATCACCACCCCTTCTTGATATAAATTCACATGAAAATATAGAGTAATATAATGTCTCTTAATTTGTTTCATTCCAGTTTCTACCGGCATGAAATGACACTAGTCCATCAGGGAAACAGCTAGCTTATTTACATAATCACTCACTTAGATAAAAATTCAAAAGTGGCAGAAATGATTAAGTATAACTGTCATACACTTCTTTGTTAAAGATACTGACTTTCAATACCCCTTTGAACAACTCTGATTAGGATATGGTCTTTTACATGCTATTCCTTTAATACATGGTAGGAAAAAGCAAAATTTCCAATCTTCTCAAATGAGTAAAATTATTAGTGCATTAAATACACAGTTCCCACATTTAATAATAAATAGAAAGCCACTTAAAATTATCTAATGAGTAAAGAGGACACATATAAACCTTATTCTAGTAAAAATTATCTCGTAAATCAAAAACATGATTTTTATTCTTTCTGTTAATTACTTCAGAAGCTCAGTGACTCCATCTTAGATAACTGTCTACAGCAGAAAATTACAGTTTAACTGCTCACTCTCAAACATACAAAATATGTATTCCATTTGCTTTCTATAGCAACATATTTTAATAATTATGGAATAGTTTCACAAATTCTTAGATTATTTTCTCACAGTCCACATATAAGCAATATGACATTTCATAGCTCAAAGTTACGTTCTATTACACACAAGGTTGCTTAAATTCGCTTTCGTTTTTGGTTAAACCACGAAAACAGTGAGCTGAAGTAGGCCAACTTTTTATGGAATGTAAGGATCTACATTAACTTTCAGTTGTAATATTTATGTTGCATCTACCCTCAAAAATAGGTAGTAATGAGAAAATAATATATTTATTAAACAAACATGCCAGGGATATGAGTAACCTTATCATTTCTATACATTGCTCTTCTTTTAAAAAGTCCATATTTTTACAGACCTTATATCGTATAACTGTTTTATGTGTATGTAATTAATTTATTGTGCACTGATAGGAGTTTCATTAACATATTAAGTAAACAAGGGAGACAGAGCCAAGAAAGGATAGGTAAATGCAGATTGTATATTGCTAGTGATAGAGACAGGAGGTAGAGAAACTCTAGGCAGACAGGGGTGGGTCCCTGGCGAAACCCCCACCTTTGAGCCAAAATGCCTGAAACCTGCAGCCCAAAGTGAGAACTTCCATCCATGTGTGTCCACTCTCTCCTGAGCAGTTCTTTCTGAATAATTTCTTTTTAAAAATTGAATATTGCCTTTTCCAAAACTAACTATGGCCTGCCCTGCCCCCCTGTGCCTATAAAGACCCTAGACTCAGAGTAGCTAGACAAGAAGAAGCAGCTTGACTCCAGAGACAACAGCTGGACATCGGAGAGAGGCAACCTTACTTCAGCAGAGAGCGACCTTCCCTTCCCGTCTCCTTTCCAGTTCCCCTATCTGCTGAGAGCCACTTTCATCGCTCAATGAAATTCTCCACATTCACCATCTTTCAATTTGTTCACATGACCTCATTCTTCTTGGGCACTAGACAAGAATTTGGGACCCACCAAGTGTGGGTACCCAAAAAGGCTGTCACACCGGCCTTTTGCCCTTGCTGGCAGATGGCAGCTGCCCCACTCAACAAGGCAAAGGGCCCACTGAACTGATAACACACTGTTGTCCACAGACTGCAGAGCTAAAAGAGCACTGTAACACAACCTCTGGGGCCTTGGGGTTGCAGGCACCCCAACCTGGATGCTGCAGCAGTGCCTTCACAGAGTTTGCTCCTGCCAGCACTGAAGTGGCTGGCTGGTTCCTGCACTTGCTCCCCTACACGCTCCCTCCTGCAATGGGGTGAGCAGGACAGGCTGAGTAAATCGGGCCCCCCTGTCGTGAGCCCCAGAAAGGGGTCAAGAAAATATCCTGCATCACTACAGTAGGTGAAAGACCTTTATATCATAATCCACTATCTAGAACATTTAAATGAAAGATCTCCAATGGCAGACTTTCTTCTAAGTGTGGGATGGCTATATTCTTTAGATTTAATTAGTGGGTGCTGCATCCCTTGGACATTCCTAATCCTAAAGGAGTATGTGAAAAAGGTTGTGCCCATAGGAAGATTAAAAAGTCACACTCCATTTGGAGTGTTCTACTACAAGGACAGCGATGAAAAGAAAAAAAAATGACTGCCATAACAAATAGAAAACATCCTATATCTCGCAGCTGATAATGCTGCATGTTCACTCTCAATTCAGTCAGCTTAAAGTTGATTCAGTGAGTAGTTGCCATGTGAAATTGGGCCTAAGGACAGTAGTGGAAGGGTGGAAGGAAAATCCTCAAATTGCTGCAAGCTAGTGGTTTCATACCAGATGAAATGCTATTCAATTCATTATTAGAGAGTTTCCTTATACAATCAGAATATGGCATACCATAGGGGTGCTACTTATAATTAGGTGAAGTTAATATTCAGAGAAACATTTTTTATCATAAAGACAACAGCATCATGGTTGTTAGTTAAAAGAAAGTGAGCCTTTGGGTTGATCACAGCCCTATTTCAAAAATGTGTCATCCTGCCTGGCATGGTGGCTCATGCCTGTAATCCCAGCACTTTGGGAGGCTGAGGGGGCCAGATCACTTGAGGCCAGGAGTTCAAGACCAGCCTGGCCAACATGGCAAAACCCTGTCTCTACTAAAAACACCAAAATTAGCCAGGCATGGTGGCGGGCACCTGTAATCGCAGCTACTCAGGAGGCTGAGGCAGGAGAATCACTTGAACCTAGGAGGTGTAGGTTGCAGTGAGCCAAGATCATGCTACTGCACTCCAGCTTGGATGACAGAGTGAGACTCCATCTCAAAAAATAACAATCAAACAAAAATGTGTTATCCTAAACATTTTGGTACTTTCAAGACGAGAAGCCAAACGTGTAGTAGGATACACATATTCTGGGTCTATTCCAAATCTAGTGACTGCTTGACAACAAGTTACAAAAGACCTACTTTTTGCTAATGTCATGACTTAACTTTTTCAATATAGATCTTTGCCATCTTTTTTTTCTTCTCGTTATGAAGCTTCATCACCTATGATTTATAGGAGTTTTGTTTTATTTAACTTTCTTGAAAATCCTGAGCTGGTGAAGTCTTAATTTTTCTTCTAATTCCTGGAGGAATTTGGAGATGTTCTTTTCATGAATTACTATTATTATTATTAATTATGTTCATTATTTGCATATAAATATTGGTATGCTTAATCATTTTTTAATTCAGACAGTGTTATGTAGTCAGTCCTATTTCTCATCTGCAAATATTAAGAGTGTATATTGGTTTGTTCTGGTTCAGTTTGTTTAATCCAGGAACTATGTTTCATATAATCCCCTTCCTAGTACGGATCTGGATTGGAGTTGGACAACAGGGGAATTTGCATGAGATATGGAGTTTGAAAGTGAAATAGTGCCCTACAGTCTCTGAAGTTGACCTCCCTTAGTTTCTGTATAGTCAGACATGATAGCAGACAGATGTGCTCAGTGGTGTTTGTTTTCTCTCTTCCACTCTGCATCCAATTATTCCCAAATGCTGGTACTGCTCTCTCTTTCTGTGTTCCCCTGCTCATGTCACCTGTCTGCAAAGGTGGAAGCTATGGAGGGGACCAACTTTCAGAAATCTATCTAGAAACATTCTATTCACAGTTCCAATTCAGAGGTGACACTTGCTTAGCTTCTCGGATGAATAGTTGGTGACTTTTCTGATCCTTCAGCAAGTCCTCCTGGACCTCCACTTTCCAAGATCCTCTTACTATTGTGTGTGTTCTGTTTCCTGTAGTAAATCGTTTATTCCTACACAGTACAGTGTTTTCTCCCCCACTTACTAAATCCTGGCCAGTACAGAGTGCAATTTGCTTTACCATATTTTTTTTCTTCTGAGTAATGTTTGAATTCTGTCTTTGTAAAATGGGTATAAAATGACTCCTTTCTACTATTCTGTCTACCTGTGGATAGTAGATACTGTGATAGTGGATAGCAACAGCCTTAAAATTGTATCTCAGTTGTTTCCCTGAATTTCTTGAGACTATTTACTGATAACCAATTTATATGAGTTGAAAATGTGTCTTCTTCCATTTGTTTTTCTCAATTTTCACTTAGCTGGACACGTTAATGATAAATTGAGTTACTGCAGTGGTTCTTAATTAAATATGAGTGTGTATAAAAAGCAATTTTGGGGCTAGTTAAAAATAAAGATTACCAGGCCCAATGCTTATGATTCTGTAAACTTTAAATTAAGTTCATCTCTATATGTCATCAGTTTTAAATGAAAATTTAAGTCGAAAGAATAAAAATGGCATAAACTGTCATATTGCTATTTTTAAACTTGTTATAACAATCCAAGCTGAGGAAGTAGGCTCTTACTATAGTGTGCCCCACATGTCTCCAGAACTTACCCATAGATCCAGTTTCAATCACAGGGAATCTCAGAACCCATCTACATTCATCTAAGCTTTTTAATTAATATAGATTTATTATAAGTGTATAATATAATCATTCCAATGGCTAGAATAATGCCATTAACATCTCAATTTCTCTCATGATTTAAAACTCATGGTAGAAAACATAATAACAAACTAATAATAGACGCAAAACTTATAGTTTGAAAGACATGTAATTATTTAAAGAAAACTATAGTATTTACATTTCTAATTTAACTTGAACATATATTTTTTATTTAAAGTATGGGAATAGTTTAAATATTGATATAGACATTCTTGGAAATAATTTTCTTACTAAAAATGAAGAAATGGTGCTGTTATAAAAACACTGATAGACCTTGTATTAGGCCATTCCTGTGTTGCCCACCTGAGACTGGGTAATTTATAAGAAAAGAGGTTTAATTTGCTCACAATTCTGGAGGCTGTAAAGGGAACATGGCACCCAGCATCTGCTTGGCTTCTGGTGAGGCCTCAGGAAATTTACCATCATGGCGGCAGGTACAGGAGGAGCCAGCATATCACATAGTGAGAGTGCAAGCAAAATAGAGAGAGGGCGGGGAGGTGTCACACACGTTTAAACAACCAGATCTTGTGAGAAATCACTATCACAAAGACAGTACCAAGTGGATGGTGCTAAGGCATTCATGAGGGATACAATCCCATGATCCAAACACCTCCCACCAGGCCCCACCTAAAGCAATGGGCATTACATTTCAACATGAGATTTGGCAGGGACATATATCCAAACCATATCAAACCTACAGAACAAAATAAATATTATATATATATATAAAATTAGCATGTATTACTAAATATATTACTCCATAAGTAATGCTGTAAGAATGGTTTAGATAATTGTCAATAATAAAGTTGAATTCACCAGAAAGCAGATTAATTTTAAAAATTAGAATAAGTTTATACATATATTTAAAAATACATGCACATTAACTCAAAATTTCATAGAAATTGGACTGGTCTTTGATAATATTTATTTTATTTTCACAGTTCTTAAAGGAAAACATAATCATTTTAGAGATGAGATAACTGGGGTTCACAGGACTTTCGCCAAGCCACCTAGCAAGTAAATGGGACAGGTAATATTAGAATCTATTTCTACAGAACTTGCTAATACAAGCTCTTCCTACTGTATAATTTTACCATCATGTAAACAATTCTATTGACCAAAATATTTTAATAGTTTATTCTTCTTATTCAGATGGTTGCTAATTATAAATCTTTGAGGTAAAATGATGTGTAGAGCTAAAAGCCATCAAACTTCTGATGTACTTTACTGATATTTTTATTCAATACTCAAATATTTTCCATATAAGTTTCACAGAATTGTTTTGGAGCTATCAATATATATTAAGTAGAATATTGTTGTAGACACCATAGTATTAAATTTGTAAGAGCTATAATTAATATTTGAAGTAATTTTTTAAAATGAACATTTAGGAAGAAATTACATAATTTTAAGAGTTTTGTTTACCATAAATCCAAAATTTCTGTTTCCGACTAAGTAGAAGTAGAATGGGTAAATATTTACCCAGAGGAAAAAAAAAATTCTCTTCCTCTCATTACTGCAGCTAATGTTGAGAAACATTGTTTCCTTCTTTGTATAGAACTGTGCTGGTCAATGAGTCTATCGAACATTTAAAATGTGGCTAGTCTGAATTGAGATGTGTGGTAATTGTAAAATATACACCAAATTCTGAAGAATAGAAAAAATTACATTAACAGTTTTTACACTGCTTGCATGTTGAAATAGGAATATTTTATAGAATGGCCTAAACTAAGTACATTTAAAATTAATTTTATTTCAATATTTATTTTTCTGATGCAGGATCTTACTCTGTCACCCAGGCTGTAGTGCAGTGGCACGATAACAGCTTCGACTGTGAGGTGGGAGGTGATTGAGGTGGGAGGTGGTTTTCCCATCTCAGCCTCCCATTAGCTGGGACCACAAGTGCACTGAGCCACAACACAACTAATTTGTGTATTATTTGTAGAGATGGGGTCTCACTGTGTTGCCCAGGCTGGTCTAGAACTCCTGGGCTCAAGTGATTCACCCGCCTTGGCCTTCTAATGTGCTGAGATTACAGGTACACCGCAGCAACTAACCTAAAAATTATTTTTTTTTACTTCTTTCTAATGAAACTACTTATACATTTCCGATTAGATATGTAAGTCACATACATAGTATGATGGTCCATAATATTGTTCTAATGCATTCACACACCCATCCTAATCATATTATATTATTTATGTATGAATATGTCTTATATATAACACTTCCATCTCTGATGTATATCTGAATTTATTAAAAATAATCCATTATTTAATATGGGTAGTTGTATTTTAAGTCTGCTCATAGTCAATGCTGCATCTCATTTTTCTTGCATATTGTGTAATAGAAATATTTAAAATTTTAAAATTTATCTATGTATACATATGTATACATATTTTAAATTTGTATATGTATCCATAGTATAAATAGTAATAGTAATATACACATACTCACATATGTATACATATTTATATATGTATGTAAAAATATATATGTATACATATGTATATTTAGTAATAGCAATATATACATACACACATATATGTTTATAAACATTAATATATATGCATATGTATGCTATGTATGCATAACATAAAATGATGCACGGAAACAAGTGTTTGGTGTTTTTTGAAGGAAAATCTGCTTTAGTTGCCAATTTTGAATACAAAGAAGTCAGGTATAATTAGACAGTAAAACAAAGACATACCTATGCAGATAAAATAAGCAAATTAGTAAAGGAAATCTAAGACACTAGTAATCTAGTGAACAAAGAAAAAATTATAATTTAAAAACTCATTGAATAACTCAATATTTAAAAGTGTAAATGGTTCCTGAGTCCAAAACATTTGAAAGCGTTCATCTAAACCTTTAATCCCATGCCTAACTCTGTTCTATAACATCTAACACGTTTTATCAATTTCTGCCAAATTCCCTATCTCAGAGCTTTATAGTTTGTTTGCATGGAGTCAGGGTTTGGGCCTCCACCTAGGTGACACTGCTATAGCACAGTGGCTGCTGCTCAGACTGTGCCTCATAAGCGCTCATTCTTGTTTCCTTACAGCAGGGAAAACGCATATTACAACACAACAAATGTCTAAGTAGCAATCAAAATCAGCTACTTTGGCAGCTAGACAAAGCCAAAATCAGAGAGAAACGAAAAGTTCTGAGAAAAAGCTGAATGATTTAATTAGAAAAGAAGCCAGTACATATGTCTATCTGCAACTACCTCTGTGACTCTCTTGGTCCCTCGGGTTAGCTTCCTGTATGAAGAGCAAAGAAGCCTGCAGAAAATTATGTTGGTGTAGATAAAATATTGAGTGACATCTGGGGTCCTTCGGTGCCCTTACAAGCTGGTTGGTGTGCACAGAAGTGTTGCTGTAGCTTCAGGGACAACAAATCAAACTGCAAGGATGATATTATGGGGTACAGTGACAAGGTATAAATGTGTTTGTTGGAAAAATATATTCATTGGTTTATCAATAGAGCACTCAAATGTTGACATAGGATTGGTAACGTACCACATAAAGTAATTTAATATTTCAGGGTGAACAATTTGCTATAATAATTGTGTTTAGTTAAAAAATATTCAGCTCAAAAGCCATGTGTATATACTGCATCACTTTATATTATATATAAGTGAATGCCATGATATGTACTGGTCATCAAGTTAGTTTTTATTAATTTATAAGTATAGTATCGATCTTGTATTTACTGGTCATACAATATATTCCATGTATTAAATGTATTTTTTAAAATCCTGAGGTGTGGAGAAATTAATTTGCCAAAGTACACATTGAATAGTTTCACATAATATAGTATTATATTATAATAAAATTCATAACTATCACTAAAAGACAGGTAAATAAATATTACTAACTATAATTTAAAACATTTTTACAAAGTAGCTTTAATATTGAACCCAAATTTTGCTGTTCAAGTCAGTTTCATATATTCAGTATCACGATTCCTAACACGTAATTCAGAGATACAGCCTTTCTAATGTTAACACTTATGAAAGAAAGAAATGTGTGTGTGTGTATGTATTCATATTTAATGAGCACAGCAGAATTAGGCATTATGCTCTATTTTTCACATGCAATGTATTGTTTAATCTTCACGTAAAAACCTTAATTAAAGAAAGCGCAGTTATTAAAGGGAGAGAGCCAGAATTCATCCTGGGAATTCAGACTCTATCTCTCTCTGTCTTGCTAGACTTCTTCCTGAGAACACTGATGTCTCTACCCAACAATGATACTAGAATCAGCTCAAAGAAATATCAGTCTTTCCTTATAATATGATAAATACAGCAAATTATCACCCCATAATTATTTGTTGAATGTATTAGTGCCAGGTACTATAAATATGATGTCCTTGAGCAGTAAGTGATGAACAAGACACTAAAGTACCTGCCTCTAATATGTCATATACCAGTGATTATGCTCATTAAAATAATGGCATAAAAGGGAACAAAGAACCACCCCCTTTTTAAAATCCCACACCTGAGTTGGAGGGTTTCCAGCATATGTATTAAAGCTAGTAAGAACAACTGCTGCGTTCCTTGTATCTGCATGCAGTGCCACATTAAATACAAAATGAAACAGAATATAAACTACCTATTATGAGTTACTTACTTAATTCAAGCATTAGCTCTAGCAGTGTGAGCAATTTAAAGCATGTTACCTTGTGTCAAGATGTACAATTTGATTGAATAAGAGGCTTTTCTGATACATAATTTATTTGTAATTTACAGGAAGAAAAGCACTCTCATTAGACTTAGAACCCTGCTTAGGACTCCTGGTCTTTTCCATGGCCAATTTTTGCTGATTCACAACCCATTCATGCTACTAAAAACTCACAGTCAGCCTTGCAATTTTTACAAATTCTGCATAATAGGTCTAATTAAAATAGATTTATTTATATGGTTAGCACGTTTCTATTAACCCATATATGTACTTAAAAAGAAACAAAAAGATCTTCCTTTCCTGTGTGAATATTCCAATAGCTCTCTTTGATCATATGGAAAACAAAAAATATTGATATTGGTATATTTATATATATTATATATATATAATATAAATTATAATATATAATATATAATATATTAATATATTACATATAATATAATATTATATATTTATTTAATATATAATTAATTTAATATATGTATTTATATTTATATTTATAAATTCATATAAAATATAATATATAATATATAAAACATTATATATTATATATTATATATAAACATATATATACAAATATATATAAATATATACATATAAATATAAATTTATAAATATATATATAAATATATACAAAAATATATGTATATTTATAAATTTATTTATAAATTTATAAATTTATACAAAATATATTTATATTATATTTTTATTTAATTATTTTATATATATTTAAATTTAAATTAAATTAAATTTAAATTTAAATTAAATTAAATTAAATTAAATTTTTTCTACAAAATTACTCTTTGTTTTCTCTCTCTTCATACTGCACTCTGGAAATAAGTCACTATGTGAAACCTACACTAAGTTAATAAATAGGGGAGTTATGCTCTTCCTTCTCTAGGCTGGAATATCTTTTAAAATTATTTGAAATTCTCCTGCATGGGAGATTTGTTTACTCTCCCTCATTTAATTATTTTATTTAATTACTTATTTGAATTCTAAAATTAGCACTATACATTCTCTCAACATCATTTTTTCATATCTCTTTGGTCTTTTTTAATCTGGGGTCAAATACCTCTTATTCAAACTTACAGTGATCCTGTTTTCCACTTACAGAAATGTACTTGTCAAAATTTCTCTTTTTTGTATTTAACCTGCATGATTTGTAAATAAATTTACTCGCTATTTGGGGATTTTGCTATTTATTTTTATTTATTTTCTTGAATAAAAATCTGGTTAGTGAAAAAACTAGACTTCTTTTAAAGTATTATGTGTTTTGGCCCTTGGATGACCAGGGATTTTGTAATAGATTTGAACTTTCTAAAATAGACTGTTTGAAGAGGTATTAATGTCACTTTACATAGAAGCCTTCCAGCATATATTTGACATCCAGCTGGTGAGATACTGTAGAAGAAACTGAAAGAACAGATGAGAGAAGGAGTAGATATATTTTAGGCCTGGCTTAGATGTCTATAAATTTATACCTTGATTGTTACCAGTGATGTTGATTAATTTCATTTGAATTAATCATCACATTTACCTAATTTTCCTGTGACCCAAATAACTAAGGGTAGGATCAGGGTCTATTGTTAGGAAAAAAAAAAATGGCCCTTGCTACTACTAACTTACCAATAATATCATGTAAATCAAATCCTTGAGGTCATATACTACAGACTCATTTTTAATATTTTAACTAATAATTACTTGCAAATATTTTCTGCTTTAAATTGACAGAATTATTTGTTGATATAGCAATGGTAGTTGTGGAGTGGGAGAATTGGTGGAAACATTTTATGTGTACAAGCATCTAACTTGCTATAGAGGAGAGCAGAATTAAAAGATAAAAGGAAGGGTCAGCTGACTTATAAGGGGTTGACTTTGATTTGCGAGGGTGAGAATGAAATATTGTGGTGTACAAAACATAGGAGGGATACAAATAGGATTGAGGTGTAAAAGATTTGTGACTGATGTGAGGTAATACATAAGTTTTGTGATATAAAATTGATGTAAAAAGGGTCAGCTATCAGAAAGCATTGAAGTTCCAAAGTATCAGAATTGGAAAGAACTTCAAGGAGCTAGCGAAGAGCTTTGAAAAGAATTTGCTTTGAACTGTGTGCACTTTGCAAAAT
The DNA here is from genome assembly GCF_000001405.40 of Homo sapiens. Taxonomy (NCBI): domain Eukaryota; kingdom Metazoa; phylum Chordata; class Mammalia; order Primates; family Hominidae; genus Homo; species Homo sapiens. The sequence goes on from NC_000009.12 coordinate 31,429,247, forward strand.
GATGCAATTCAATTCCAAATCCTCTGGCATTTATTCATGTGATTTTAGGGGCAGCCAGTAAATGGGATCAATATTGATGGCAAATTGGGATTTCAAAAAAACATCGAAGGAGCATTCATTTTACGAAATAAAACTGATTCATTTTTTATGAAATAAAAGCAGTTTAAAAAGGGATCACATTAGCCTTAATAATATCAAAGTTGGTGGCTATTCATACCAGTTTGTTCATTTTATCTCACTATGTTCTATTCTCTCAGGTCATTTTCAATTCATTTTGTTAGAAATGAGATTTGTGATGCTTTCTAGGTCTCTTCTAGTTGTTCATGATTGGAATATGCATTTATAGGTAAATCTTTCCAGTGCAACAAATTTTATGATATCCTGAGGCTCCGAATCCCTCTTCCACATAATACCCTAAAAGAACTCTAGTTTTTTCACTAACCAGATTTTTATTCAAGAAAATAAATAAAAATAAATAGCAAAATCCCCAAATAGTTAGCGAGTAAATTTATTTACAAATCATGCAGGTTAAATACAAAAAAGACAACTAGTACATTTCTGTAAGTGGAAAACAGGATCACCGTAAGTTTGAATAAGAGGTATTTGACCCCAGATTTAAAAAGACCAAAGAGATATGAAAAAATGATGTTGAGAGAATGTATAGTGCTAATTTTAGAATTCAAATAAGTAATTAAATAAAATAATTAAATGAGGGAGAGTAAACAAATCTCCCATGCAGGAGAATTTCAAATAATTTTAAAAGATATTCCAGCCTAGAGAAGGAAGAGCATAACTCCCCTATTTATTAACTTAGTGTAGGTTTCACATAGTGACTTATTTCCAGAGTGCAGTATGAAGAGAGAGAAAACAAAGAGTAATTTTGTAGAAAAAATCTAATTTAATTTAATTTAATTTAAATATATATAAAATAAAAAAATATAATATAAATATATTTTGTATAAATTTATAAATTTATAAATAAATTTATAAATATACATATATTTTTGTATATATTTTTATATATTGTATATATTATATAATATATAATATATTATATATTATATATATTATATAATAAATATAATATATATTATATATTAATAATTTACAAATTATATATATATTTATAAATTATTATATAATATATAATATATAAATATATTATATATAATATATATTATATATTTATTTAATATGTATAATTAATTTAATATATGTATTTATATTTATATTTATAAATTTATATAATATAATATATAATATATAAAACATAATGTATAAAAATATAAATAAATATATTTATAATATATATAATACATATAATATATAATATATAATATATTACATATAATATATAATATATATAATATATATTATAAATATATTTATATTTCTATATAATACATAATATATATTATATATTATATATTATATATAAACATATATAAATATATACAAATATATATAAATATATAAATATAAATATAAATATAAATATAAATATAAATTTATAAATATATATTACATATTTGTATACATTATAATTTATAAATATATATATTTATATATTATATATTATATATAAATTTATTTATATATAAACTATATAATTTATATATAAATTAAATTATATATAAATTATATATAATTATATATATAATATATATATAATTTAATTTATATATAATTTATATATAATTTATATATAAATTATATATAAATTATATATATGATTTTTATATATATATATAAATCATATATATATATTTTTTAGACATCTTCCTCTGTCGCCCAGGCTGGAGTACAGTAGCACAATCTCCGCTCACTGTAACCTTCGCCTCCCGGGTTCAAGTGATTCTCGTGCCTCAGCTTCCCGAGTAGCTGGGATTACAGGTATGGGCCACCACGCTCAACTAATTATTTTGTATTTTTAGTGGAGATGGGGTTTTATCATTTGGCCAGGATGGTCTCAATCTCCTGACCTCATGATCCGCCCACCTCGGCCTCCCAAAGTGCTGGGATTACAGGTGTGAGACATCTCACCTGGCCTGAAAATATTTTTATACTGTGTATTAAATTATGCATACATGACAAAATGTAATCAACTATTAAACCTTGGTGAAGGATAAATGGGTGTTCACTGTACTATTCTTTCAACTTTACTGTGGATTGTAAAATTCTGAAAAATAACAATAAATTAAATAATTAAATTAAGCAGGTAATTTCTGAAAGTTTAGGATCCTTCAGCATTTTGCTAATTTTTTATGAAGTGAAATTATACGTTAATGTTTAAATAAGGGTTGGAACGCCATGGATATGCTATTTTACTTTTATATTGTGACTTCAGTTGCTGTACTTCTAGCTGAGCCATGTCAGGTGTCTTTCATCCTGTGTGTCCTAGGAAGACGTGTGGCCTTGGAAGAGTTAATTGAATATCTTCTGTAGATTTGAAAGAGCTCTCTGAACAAGGTGTGGGAACATCTGGGAACCACTCTGGGGACTGGGGGAGTGAAAACTGGCATTACCCAGTCACTCTGGGCCATGGGTTATAAGATGCTATTATCTATCCTGCCCACCTCGTGTATGGTAGAAACAGAGAAACATCAATTTCTAAATAAATGTATTTATCATTTTTGAAATAGGCTCCCCTGTGACGTTTCTTCATTTCTAAGTCCTTAATATCTAGAGACACAAAATGTTTTAATAAAAACTTCAAAATACCTGAAACCTTACCATCTTGTGATCACTGCTCTGTAGAAATTTTTAGTCCTTCTAGAAATTGTCATATAAAAATGCACAACTATTTTGGGGTCGGGCGCGGTGGCTCACGCTTGTAATCCCAGCCCTTTGGGAGGCTGAGGCAGGCGGATCACGAGGTCAGGAGTTTGAGACCAACCAGCCTGGCCAACACGGTGAAACCCTGTCTTTACTAAAAATACAAAAATTACCCTGGTGTGGTTGTACATGCCTATAATCCTAGCTAGTTGTAAGGCTGAGGCAGGAGAATATCTTGAACCCAGGAAGCGGAAGTTGCAGTGAGCTGAGATCCTCAACAGCACTCCAGCCTGGACAACACAGCAAGACTCTGTCTCCAAAAAAAAAAAAAAAAAAAAGGCACAACTACTTTAAAAATCAGCATAATACAAGAGAGACTTGTTTGTTTAACAAGCGCCCAGTATTCTATAAATAAATGTAATGAATACTGTTTGTTTTAACTTTACTTCCCTTAAGAGTATATTGTTAATGTCTTTGCAGGTCAAAATCTCCTTATACAAATCTTACCAGAGACAAACTTTATTTTCTGTCAACATTAATACTAAGCTGCCTAACTGCTAAGAGATCTCCAAAACGTTAAAACTAAAGCTAACATTACATCCATCTATGCCATTTTTCCTAGTAGTTTGTTTGTTTCTTTGTTTGTTTTTTCCCATTCCATTTTGGAAGGCTGTTCAGCCCCAATCCCCTGCCAAGTCTTCACTTAGCCATGTGGTTTAGCTCCCTTTTTCTTTCAGTCCCCTTATTTCAGATGCTTTCCAGAGTTCTACAATATCTTATAAAGTATGGCATCCATCTAAGTGTTTTTAAGTTTCCAAAGAACATTCTAGGATGCTCTCACTTGCAGGAGACTCAAATGTTTCTTCTAGATATTATTTTGCTCCTAACTTCCATATGATGGCATGATGTTTTCTTGCTTCTGCATATATAAGTCTCTTGACCTTTTCAGCAACTAACATCTTTCTGATTTCTTGACACATGAGTTGGTGTTTTTATTTTTGAGCTCATCTCACAGCTTACTCTCTGGGTCATGGGTATATTTAGACTCTTCTCTTTACTTTTTTCTCACCGTATTTGTATGTGTTTTCAAAATTTCCTTTTTATACCTCCTATCCAATAACTACTTTTTCCTTCAGAAGAATGTAATATGTATTTGTGTGTGTATATATATGTGTATGCATAAACTTTTTTGAGAAGAATACACAAATATATACTTTTTTCAGAAGAATACAAAGAATAGTGAGATGCTCACAACTCCATTTTATGTTTTTGGTCCCACACATTTTCAAACCTCAGTTGCAGTAAGTTTAGACCATGAGTCAAGTATTTTGTTTTGCAATGCCAAGGAAAAGTAAAAAGAGCACATGTTTCAAAACAGGTAGACCTGAATATGAGTCCAGCTCTGCCGCTTGAGTATTTGGTTGAATTATTGACTTTTTTTCTATACACCTTGTATCATTTGACCTGAAAATAATGTTGATTACATTCTTATTCCTCATTTCTACTTCCACATTTCCCTTCTTCCTCTTAAAAATTTTTGAGCTTTAATTTGCACTTCATCAGATTATAACAGATGTTACTCCTTCCTCTCTGTTCTTGTTGTCAAAATACCCCAAGAGAGGAATTCAATGTTTTGTTGTTGTTTCTTGAATATTTTAGCAGCTGAGTCACTCCCAGTCTCCACTCTTGTCTTTATAATTACTTTTTAAAATCTCATGCTGTATCTAATGAATGCACTTGTCTTCATTTTTGATGATTTTAATATCCATTTTGATGAGGCTTCCAGTATCTGAAACTTTAATGTTTGGAACTCTTCTCCTGGAATGACTTTGTTTTGTTCCCTATATTAGCCACTCTCATCTGTGGTTACACCTCACCATTTCCTTGCTATTAAAACCAATAACCTATCAATATATTCATTCGTGCACAATGTTTTTATTTTTACTTAATACCTTCCATCTTCCTAGCTGACTACCTCTTGTACTATAACACGAATAATTTACAAACAGCATTTAGACTTGCCATCCATTGTCCAACTGTCTTGTCTTCTCCTTTGGAAATTACACATGTTTACATTCCTTATCTTCCTAATGTTTTTAGTTCCTTCCTTAAACTGTTTAAAATATATTGTCCATGACTAAAATCACTGTCTTGCATATATGCTCAATGTTTATGTCCTATTCTGGCTTTGTCACAACCAACTTTGTTAGGAACAGCTCCCCAGATCTTTTGCATCTACCTTAACAGCTGAATATAGATGGAGAGTAAAATACAATCATATGGATTGCCCCTTCTTTTAACTGATGAAAAATGACACCAAATAGGCCTTTTTTCTGCAAAACATTCACAATGTATTTTCCTCTAGTGAAAGGATATGATAATTTCAGTCGCAGATGACTATTTAATAGTATTTCATAGAGCCATAGTATTTTCCAGAGGCTGTATGGTGTAGTTGCTAATATTCCAGATGTCTATTTGAAACATTCACTTGAATGTCTAATATCCAGTTTGAAGTTATCATGTACCAAAATTAACTCATCATCTTCCCCTCCAAACTAGTTTCTTTCTTTACATCTTTCTGCAGGCCCATATGGCCGGCCTGCCTTCCCCACATTCAGGACGTTTCCACCACATGCTCCCTTTCCTCTAGTCAGGCTAGTCTGCTCGCTCTTCACAAACATCAGCTCGTTCCTAGGGGCAACCGGTGTTGCTGGACTTTTACATTAAAACATTCTTCTCCAAAATATTACCTCTAATTTTCAGGTCTCAGTCAAATATCACCTTAAAGAGGACTTCCAAGATCATTCTATTAAAAATTGAATGACTAACATCCTCCCTGCCCCAGCTTAAAATACGCATACCCTTAACACTACGTTATTTTGCTTCATGGCACTATCACCATCTGACACAGTATATAGGTTATTTTACAACAATTATTTTCTGTCTTTTTCACTAACATGTAACCAACCTGTGAGCTAGGACTTCACTGATTATTTTGTTTATTGCTGCATTCTTGAGATCTAAAAGAATACTGGACTAATAACAGTGCTGGATTCATACTTGTTAATTAAATAAATGAAATGACACACATGGACACTAGAGGAAATTTCATTATCCTATACTCAAAGCTACAGAAAGCATGAAATGCAGACCAAATTCTAGACATATTAATATAAAACTTCATTATGTATTCAGTACAATGTTCACTATTTGGGTGATGAGTACACCAGAAGCCCAAATATCACCATTACACCATATATGCCTATGACAAACCTGCACATGTACTCTCTGAATCTATAATTGTTTAAAAATGCATATTCTGCAGGATTGGAAAAACGGTATATAAAGTTGCCAGTATTGTGTCTATAAATGTCCAACAAAATTAATTATATCTCTATCTTCTTTGATTTTTCATAGTGTACGTGACAGGGTTTGGATCTATATCCCCACACAAATATCCTGTTCACTTGTAATCCTCAATGTTGGAGGTGGGGCCTGGTGAGAGGTGACTGGATCGTGGGGGTGGATCCCTCGTGAATGGTTTAGCACCATCCTCTTGGTGCTGTTTTGATGATGGTGAGTGAGTTCTCATGGGATCTGGTTGTTTAAAAGTATGTAGCACTTCTGACCTCTTCTTCTTCCTCTTTCTCTGGCTATGTGAAGTGTTGGCTCCCGCTTTGCCTTCCACCATGATTGTAAGCTCCCTGAGACCTCCCCAGAAGCTGATGCCACCATGCTTTCTGTACATCCTGCAGAACTGTGAGCCAATTAAACCTCTTTTTCTTTTAATAAGTTACTCAGTCTCAGGTATTTCTTTATAGCAGCATGACAATGGACAAATACAGTAGGTAAGCTTAGTATCTACCACCTAACTTATAACTTATGAAGTCTGGGGTAAAATCAAAGCAGTCTCAGTCAATTATTTAATGTGTTGATGTTATAAGAAATCACCTCTTTTAAAATGCAAGAACCTATAAAACTTTTCCATTAATGTAAACACAACTTAATTTTCAAGTCTCAAATTATATCTTACCTATACATACAATATATAACTTCTGAATAATTTCTTGAGGAATATTTTCCAGGACTGTATTGTGGGTGAAATTATCAATATTTTTACCACATGCTAGTAGTAAATAAGAGAGAGGCAAGATGTTTGCCAGAAAATATCTTCTAAGCAGGAAAAGAGCAAATGATTGTCAAGGGAAGATCTAAAGCCAGAGATACAAAAACTGAAAGAGTATCCACGAGAAAGAATCAACTTAAGACAGACAACAAAGGAGGGTAAGAGAATCTTAATACAAAATCATAGCATAGTTGAGTTTAAATTATTTAATATAGGATCTAAATTCAGAGAAAGATGGCATCCAAAAGTTGTTACTTTTATATAGGACTGGGTTTATCTTGCCATTATTGGTTTATCTTGCCATTTTTGACAGAATACCTAGAAAGGAATAACTAGGCTACTTGTTATGTATCAACCAGACATAAAGTTTCAGGAATTAATCTAGAAATAAAGTGAAAATTATAAAATAGGAATGTACATTTACCTGAAAATGATACCAAAAGGATCATTTTAAGCATTATGGTTAGTAGAGATAAGTTGTTGTTTTTATAGTTTTTAGAGAAAACAAAAACAACTGAATAGTACCAACCTGACAAAGATAATCATGTATGGAGCTAGAAAAGGGCTTATGAATTTAGATATGAGGAACAGTCCTCCTAAATGCCTTCCAGTGCTGGATTTCTATATAGAATCACAGAAGGAAAGGAATGATCCAATGATCAAAAGTACACATGGTGGTTATACACACAACATTAGCACGAAAATTAATGAAAAAAAATATAATCTGAAGTTTGAGAAAAATATTCGCAACAATTTGAATTATACTTTCAATAATCTTACCTTTTTAACTTCTGGGGAAAAATCCAATAAATTGTTTGGATGAGTCAATATACTTACTGAAAGCTTATCTTTGTGCATTTCACTCCCATTTAATTAATGTTCTAATATTATTACTTCCATGTGACTTGCAGAGACAGAGGTTTAAATATGGGCTGATAAATTACATTCTATGATTTTCAGACCTCAAGTAGGGTTTACACTGTGCTACAGAGGCTGGTAATACTGCTTCTTACGCGCAAGGCAGAGGTGAGAACAGTCAAGTGTAGCTCTAAACATGCTAAACAATATTTTCATTTTTCACAGGCCTCTTTACTTCAGTAATTTTTTGCACTGTATCAAGCACCACTTCTTTACCACCTGGCATCTACTGCTGCTGTTTGAATCTTTATCTTACGAGTAAGTGTACGCAAAGGCCTCTTAACTGGTCATCTTTTTGTCTAGCCCAGTATTTCTTAACTATTTTACATCACTGACAAATTCCAGAGTGCGATGTGACTAACATACCTACAGCACAAGCTCTGAGCCCTCTAGCTTCTTTCTCTGCTATTTAAATACTCAGTATCCTAATTTCAGTTAGAAGTACACTTCTTCTAATCAACTTTTTCAAATTAATATACATTTTACCTTCTGGAAATATATTATTTATGAATATTAATGTTCTACATATCATTGATCAAATTATGTGCTCCACATGCCTTAGACTCATTATATGTGTGTAACAGGGCATAGTAATGATACCTGCCTCACAGGGTTGTTGGTAAATAAAGACAGCATGTGAAATGCTTCAAGGAGTGTTTGGCTCATGGAACTTTCAAAACTGATTAGCCACTGTTGTCATTACTATTAACATATTAGCATCACCAGAATGGTCTTTGAATATTTTAGCCTTTGTTTCTTTGTCCCAATAGTTCCACAAACAGATAACATTCTCACCATTACTTTCTGCCTATCCAAATTTTACACCTCCTTTAAAAACTGGTTTAATTGTATGCATGGCAGGGTGAGTATAATTAATAATTTTAAAGTATATAAAATCCTCAATTGTACCTGAAATTTGCTAAAAGAGTAGATCTTAAGTATTCTTACCACAAAAGTATGTGAGGTAATAAATATGTTAAACATCTCATTGTACACCTTGAATATATGCACTTTATATTTGTCAATTAACCTCAACAAAGCTGAAGAAAACAACTGGTTTAATTTCCACTAGCATTTCTGCTAATAGTTCTCTAACTTATTTCACTTAATACCAGGACTACTCTTAGTAAACTCTGTACCTTTTTATTAGATTTCTTTTTTTAATTGCTTTTGTTCATGATTGTAAATTGTTCTTTTCTATTTCTTCTGTTGCCTTTGTTCATGACTGTGAATTTTAATAGACTTACTTTTTTTTTTATTTACTGGACTTTAAATTTGTTGATTTTAGTCTCACCTCATTTTCCTTGTCTGTATTCTCCCCAGTTTTCTCAATGTTAAACTAACTTATCTCACCACCTATGGCTTCATTGCCAGTACTTAGGCCAAATTAGCAATAAAAATCAGCCAATATTAAAGAACTCCCTTGCCCATCACTGTTTCTGCGTGTGCACAGAGTCAAATACACACAAATGTACAGTGTGGAAAAGGTATCTTAGTTTGGGTTCCCTGGAAACAGGCAAGGATTTGTGTGTCAGAAATATTAAGAAACTGCTCTCTGGAGAAACCTGTGAAAAAGCAGAAGAGAAAAGGGCAGGACAGGATCAAGCAAGGGTATGTTTTCAGGATATGTATGAGTCTGATCCTAAAAGGGAGCTCTGCATTATACTTTATAATCAATTTTTCTCAATTGGACTTAAGGAAGTTGAGCTTTTACTTCTCCACCCATCAGTCATTGGTTAGGTCCTACAATAAACTCACAGGTATTCTTGCCACTTAGTCAGAAGAGCCAAGTGGCTTTAACAGATTGAGAACAGGTCTCTGAGTTGCCGGAGAATATGATTAGACCTAAACACACACCAAAACTCAGGAAGCGATGTATAGAAATAGCAAATGGGTTATTAGGTTCTTTGGTATGAGCACCAACCATGTCTACTCCAGTGGAAATTTTATGCAAACACTGGATTTTCTTTCTCAAAAATGACCTCTTAGGTTCTTAAAACTCAGATCAAATCATACCTTTTCCCATTCTCATGTTAAATACCATCTCATTACCAAGTAATACTTACTAGCATATTGCATATTTTCATTTTCTTCACATCACTTATTGATCACTGAAATTATCATGTATCCTCACTAGGAAAATGGTAAACCTGAATCAATCACAATAGATATAATTTCTACGGCTGTTCAAATTCACCTTAAAATGCGCCAGGTGGAGATATTTTTAAAATGTTTTACCAAACCTTCAAATTGAAGATGTTTCTTTTTCAGAGATGAGGAAAAGTGGAGAGCTATCTGCAGCTAGTTTTCCACTTAGCTGGTTTTCCACCTCACAGCTACTCCCCACTTTTCTCCTTATAGACAGAGGCAGGATTTTATCTACATAACATCGTTCTCCCATTCAAAGGTAAATCTTTGCTTTTATAAGCCAATCACGGTAGTCCTATTATGCTGGCTGATATTTGGTTTAGGGATAAACATGATGAGACATGAGACAATCTGCTGGGGTTTCTGGTAAAGGTTTCCTTGATATTTAATTTAAAATGAATTATAAATAGCTCCTCTGCTGCCACTGGTTTTTGTGTCTGCATATAAATTTTGAAACTGTGGCATCCATATTGTGATAAAAAATGAAAGAGCTTAAAGATGGAAAGAACTTGGGTCTTTTAAGATGTTACTGAGCCGTAAAATTTGTTATACCTACAGCTTTCCCTTTCTCTGGAGTTTTGTGATAAATATCTTCCTCATTATTTATGCAAGTTTTATTGGGGTTTTTTTTATTCATAAGCAACATCTTAACTTCTATCCATGAATGTGTTTGTGCTTGTCAAGCAATGGTGTACTAGTAAATGTTTAACAACTGGCTCTCAAAAAAACAGACAAGAATGACAAAAGCTTTGATTTGTAAAATGCATTGATTCGCATGGTGTGAATATTCCCACCATGGTAGATTTCAAATTATTAAAACAACCTCACCAAATACAGTGTTACAAAGAGGTGTACTTTGTGAGATCTTGCAAGTCAGTAGGAGCTGGCTCCTGCACACCACCGCAAAAGGTTCTTATTTGCAAACAAGAGAAATAAACTCAGATAATGTAGCAGAAAATACATTTATTAAAGGGCTGTCAGGTGGGCCGTAGAATCATAAAGAGGGCTGAAGAGTTCACCTGAAGGCTGTCCACACACAAGCAATACTCACCAATACCAAATGAATGTTGAGGATACTTTTGTCACCAACTCCACCTGCACAGTTCATATGCATCATTTAGGTAGTGTCAGGCCTCTGAGCCAAAGCTAAGCCATCATATCCCCTGTGACCTGCAGGTACACATCCAGATGGCCGGTTCCTGCCTTAACTGATGACATTCCACCACAAAAGAAGTGAAAATGGCCTGTTCCTGCCTTAACTGATGACATTACCTTGTGAAATTCCTTCTCCTGGCTCATCCCGGCTCAAAAGCTCCCCAAATGAGCACCTTGTGACCCCCACCCCTGCCCCCCAGAGAACAACCCCTTTGACTGTAATTTTCCTTTACCTACCCAAATCCTATAAAACGGCCCCACCCCTATCTCCCTTCACTGACTCTCTTTTTGGACTCAGCCCACCTGCACCCAGGTGAAATAAACAGCCTTGTTGCTCACACAAAGCCTGTTTGGTGATCTCTTCACACGGACGTGAGTGAAATCTAGCACTGGTTATTTATGGTCTGATATCCCTTAAAATTAATCAGTGCCTTTGTGACCTTGCTAAATATGTAAGTATCATTGTATAAATGCTGATAATAAAAACATTGGATAATGGACGCTGCCTTAATTATGTTACCACTAGTAACCCAAGAATTCAATCTTACAGCAATTCTTGACCTTGACAGTGAATGATTTGTCCCATAATCTGATCCCCATGTCTTTGAGGGGAAAAGAAGTAATTTAAAAAATGTAAACAGCATGCCCATAGACTTCATAAGAAAGAGGCTGAGAACAGGAATATTTGGCAAATGCAGCTTCTACAGTAAGAGGTCTTTCTAATAAGACTCATGAGGACATAGAGTTTTTCAAATAAAAATAATGCCAAAATATCTCTGCAATGAAGCTAATAAAACCTTGATATAAAAACTACAAGAGATCAGTGTAAACAGAACATAAATAAGGGGAGATTAATTTTTAAAAATCTAGTTTAAAAAATAATACAAAATTTTAAGTATATTAACAAAAAATTTTAAAACATTAAAAACACAATTAAGTATATATTGGTGAATGCTCAATGTTAATGTAATTAATCCCTTTCAACATACTAAGCAACTGAAGGACAAAAATATAATTACCTTAATATAAGAACAAATTCCCAAAATGTTTATTTTTCATTTAAGGAGATCAAGGATACATCAGTAACCAGACAAAGAAGTTGTTTGGATCCAATATCAACAGGAATGCCATTCTTAATAAAGAAACATACATTAAAGATAGCTTATTAAAGTCAGCTATGAGGCAGACATACACTGCATCAACTTCTATTCAACACTACACTGACTATTCTATCAAATTCAATAAAACAAGTAAGAAATTTTAAATTTTATGTAAATTGCAAAGTAAAATACACAATTATCTTTATGGTATAGTAATTGGAAGCGGTAAATTTACTAAGTTAGTTAAATGTAAATTAACATAAACATACAAAAGTGAATTCCTAGAAATGTAAATTCCTATTGTATATATAAAAACCAACTAAAAAATAGAAAAACACTGTTAACTGCAAAACATTTGTTTTGAAGCATCATTTGGAAATTATGAAATAAAATTGACTTTATTCACAGATGACATGACTCTGTATGTAAAAATGATAAAGAATACATAAAAACAATAAACTATTAGAATTTCAAAAATAAGGAACCCTAGCATACTGTTGGTGGGAACATAGACTGGTATAGCCCTCTTGGAAAACAGTATGGAGGATCCTGAAGAAGTTAAAAATAAAACTATCCTATGACCTAGCAATCCCTTTTTGATTATATACCCAAAGAAATAAAATTGCCATCTCATAAAGATATCTGCATTCCCATGCTCATTGCAGCATTATTCACAATAGCCAAGGTATGGAAACAACCTAACTGTTCATAGATGGATGAATGGATAAATTGGTATATACATATCTTCTATATTCCATATATTTGGAGGAATATTATTCAGTTTTTAAAAAGGAGATCATGCCATTTGCTACAACACAGATGAACCTGAAGGACATTATGCTAAGTGAAATAAACTGGACACAGGATGCAAAATATTGCATGATCTCATTCATATGTGGAATCCAATTTTTTAAGCCAAATATACAGAGGTAGAGAATAAAATAGTGCCTACCAGGGGTGGGGGAGTGGTAGAAAATGGGGAGTTGTAGGTCAGAGGACATAAAGCCACATATAAATGGGATGAAATGGTCTAAAAATCTAACGGACAACATGAGTTAATAAAATTGTACTGTATTAGGGATTTCTGCTAAATGAGTATATTCTAGCTGTTTTTGCCATGCACCACGAAAAATGGGTAACTATGTGACATGATGGATATGTGAATATACTTCACTACAGTAATCATTTTACTATCTGTGCATTTCATAACTACATGCTGAATACTTTGAATACGCACAATAAAATTTATTTAAAAAATAATTTCCAATTTATAGCCTAATATGCTATAATAAAAATAAATACATGTATTCATCAAGGTTTCAGGATAAACAAAATCAATAAAAAAGTAAATTATATTCTATATACTAACAATGAACAGTCTGTAAACAAAATTAAGACAACTCAAATACATTAGCATCAAAAAAGTTGTAAATTATCAAAAGAATTATAAGATCTATAAAGTAAAAGTGTAAAGTGTCGCTGAAAGAGATGAAAAAATACTTAGATAAACAGAGAGAATTTTCATGTTCATAGGTTGTGAGATTCAGTGTAATTAAGATTGCAATTCTTCTCAAATTTGTCTACCATTCAATGTAAACCCTATCAATTATCTAGCAGGCTTTTTTTTTCCTTCAGAAATTGAGAAGCTACTTCGAACATTTATACAAAAAGGTAGAGACCATAGAATAACCAAAATAATATTAAAAAAGAACAAATTTGGATGAGTCACACTTCCCAATTTCAACTTATTATAAAGTTACTATAATCTATAAAGTGTGGGGCTGATACAAAGATAGACATATATTAATAAATCAGTGGAACAGAATTGAGAATCCAGAAATAAACTCTTATATTTATTGTCACTTAACTTTCAAAACAAGTTGAATGTCATTAATTTAATGGGAAAATAATAGTCTTTGCAATAAATAGTGGTGGGACCACTGATATTCACACATAAAAGATAAGTTTAAACTGTCTTAAAAATCATACTCAAAAATAAGATAGATCTGAGATCTAAATGAAAGAGCTAACATTATTAAATAAATAAAGGGAACAAAGCTGTTTCTTAAATACTATATAGAAGTACTATAAAGTACTCTATAGTACTTTATATATAAATATATACATTTATATACAGTACTATATAAAGTACTATATATATATTTTTATATAGTACTATATAAAGTACTATAAAGTACTGTAGAGTACTTTATAGTTAGTACTGTAGAGTACCATATTGAAGGAAGAGAAAGACCCTCTCATATTATTTTATATTGTTTTATACTCAGTACCTGTTTTAAGAAAAAACAACAAGGAAGTAAAACCAAAGACAGGCAGCCCAGAGCCAGGCCTGAAACCAGGCCTGGTCCTGCCTGGCCTAAACCCAGTAGTTAAAAATCAACTCATAACTTAGAAACCGATGTTATTCATAGATTCCAGACATTGTATAGAAGAACACTGTGAAACTCCCTGCCCTGTTCTGTTTCTCTCTGACCACCGGTGCATGCAGCCCCTGTCACGTACCCCCTGCTTGCTCAAATCAATCACTACCCTTTCATGTGAAATCTTTAGTGTTGTGAGCCCTTAAAAGGGACAGTAATTGTACACTCGGGGAGCTGGGATTTTAAGGCAGTAGCTTGCCAATGCTCCCAGCTGAACAAAGCCCTTCCTTCTACAACTCAGTGTCTGAGAGGTTTTGTCTGTGGCTCGTCCTGCTACAATATAGTTAGCACTTTATAGTTAGCACTATAAAGCATTATATAGTTAGTACTTTATGGTCATTTTCATTTCTCTTGGGTAGGTTCCTGTAAGTGGTATTGCTGAGTCATATAGTACTTTATAGTACTAAATACTATAAAGAAAAAGAAAATGTTTCTTAAATACTATAAAGAAGCACCGTCTATAAAAGAAAAATGTGTTATATCAGACTTGGTAAAAACTAAAAACATTTATACTTCAAAGGGCACCTTTAAGAAAATCGAAAGACAAGATACAACCTGGGAGAAAGTACTTCCAAATCCTAATTTTGACAAAGGACTTGTATTCAAAATGTATTCTGATTATTATTATTATTATTATTATTATTATTATTATTATTATTATTTTTAAAGCCATACCTCTACAGTAAGCTTACTTTCTTTTATTATTATTATTATACTTTAAGTTCCAGGGTACATGTGCAGAGCGTGCAGGTTTGTTACATAGGTATACAGGTGCCATGGTGGTTTGCTGCACCCATCAACCCGTCATCTACATTAGGTATTTCTCCTAATGCTATCCCTCCCCTAGTCCCCCAACCCCCAACAGGCCCTGGTGCACGATGTTCCCCTCCCTGTGTCCATGTGTTTGTTCTCATTGTTCAACTCCCACTTATGAGTGAGAACATGCAGTGTTTGGTTTTCTGTTCTAGTGTTACTTTGCTGAGAGTGATGGTTTCCAGCTTCATCCATGTCCCAGCAAAGGACATAAACTCAATAACCAGAAGACAAATGGCCCACTTTAAAAATGGGCTTAAGTTTTCAATAGAAATTTCAGGATGGTCACAGTGGTTCCATGGGTACAATCCCAGCACTTTAGGAGACAGGCAGGAGATTCACTTAAGGCCAGGTATTCCAGACCAGCCTGGGCAACATACTGAGACCCCATTTCTACAAAAAAATTAAAAGTTAGCCAAAAATAGTGCCTCATATCTATAGCCCTAGCTTCTCAGGAAGCTGAGGCAGGATAATTGCTTGAGCCCACAAATTTGATGCTGCAGTGAGCTATGATTGAACCACTGTACTCCAGCCTGGGTGAGAGAACAAGACCTTGTCTCAAAAAACAAACAAATAAAAAAAAACAGACATTTCAACAAAAAGATGTACATCGACCAATTAGCATGGAAAAAGACACTCAGCATCATAATTAGGAGAATGCAGATTAAAACAAAAATGTCATACTACATAACACCCACTAGAATGGTTCTAAAAAAAAAAGACGGACACCAATACATGTACATCCTTATACATTACAGGAGGGAAAGTAAAATGGTATAGTGGCTTTGTAAAATGGTTTT
Organism: Homo sapiens; assembly: GCF_000001405.40. Lineage (NCBI taxonomy): Eukaryota > Metazoa > Chordata > Mammalia > Primates > Hominidae > Homo > Homo sapiens. Next base: position 31,445,523 of record NC_000009.12, read on the forward strand.
TAAAACTTAAATGTAAATGTAAAGCATGACTCAGCAATACCACTTACAGGAATCTGCCCAAGAGAAATGAAAATACATGCCCACACAAAGACTTCTATGTGATGTTTATAGCAGCCCAATCCATAATACACCAAAACTGAAAACAAACACCTATCAACCAGCAAGTGAAGAGGAAGATATGGTACATCCATACAGTGGAATAACAATTCAATGATAAAAAGAAGCAAAGTACTGATACCTGCCACACAGATGACCCTCAACAAAATTATACTATTAAAAATAATCCAGGCACAAAAAAACCCTCTCACATATTTTATGATTGAATGTATATGAATTGTGCATTAAAAAATCTGAAAGTAGATTGGTGGTTGCCTGCAACTGAAGTTGGCTATACGAAGTACTTGGGAAAGAAACAAGGGATGTTTTTGGAATGATGAAAATATTTTAAAATTGGGTTGTTGTGATGGTTATACAACCCTATATTTTTACTAAAAACTGTATTGTATGCCTAAGACAAGTACATTTTATATGATGTAAATTATGTTTGAGTAAATCTGTTTAAACAAAATGAAGCTTGCAGAGGCCTCTTCCTCTTTCACTGTTGTTACCATAGTTACTTGCTGGTATCAGGTCCTCTGAATTTTCCAGTGAGTACTCATTCGCATCTTCTGTGTTCCTGTGCTCTTGAATTGTTGAAGTTCCTCTTTCTCCACCCTACCACCTATGCACTGCTGGTAGACCTGGATTCTTTCCTTGTGGTGCCTAGATTTCTATGTTGCTTTATTTCGCACCCTCCTTTCATCGTTCCTGGAGAATCCTTGTCATGTCGCTTCATAAACGGTGTTCTACATGAAATATTTATTTTCCTATCCTAGATACCCTGCTTGTTTTTCTTAGGGGATTTGAAGAGAGGACTAATTTAAAGCTGCACTGCTATTATTATCCTTCCCCATAAGGGAGTCTGAATTACTTTAAGTCATAAGGGAAAAATTATGCCAACAACCAGAGTCAACATACCTGTTAGGGTTCATGATGCCAGACAGGCCTGTAGTACAGAGATGCACAGTGTTGTTATGGATGTCAAGTGAAGGAATCAGAAAATAGTTACACAGATATTAATGACAAAGTTCCACAGTTCCTTTACAGATAAACAGACATGCTTGCATGTCTGTACATTATCACTGTAGAAGCCTTCATACCAACTGAATAATTCCTACCCATTTTTAAGGCCTAATATAGAATCTACCTTTGTGTCCAGAAAAACCTTCTCTGATCCACAAAATGTGAGTTAGCTAGGCCTATATTTACAGTCTTCCTTTTTAAAATTATCAAATTTATTGTAAGTTGCTGTTTACTTATCTCTTTCTTCCACTAAAGTGTAAGTGATAAGAAGCCAGTGGCTATGTTAATCTTATTTATCTTTTTAAACCTAGCAGCTCAACATATGTTTATTGAATTACTTAACCATCTAATTATTTCTTTATTACTGAGTCTCAATATATGTAAATCTCATATGTCTTCATTTTAATTATATTCTGTATGGTTATTTTTGCCTTTAACATTTTGTGGCTCTATTTTTTGCTTTATAATTTTATATAAACTTCTGGTTTGTATTTTCAACTTATTATTTTCTATATTTTCTTCATTCTTTGAATGTCCATAGCATTTTGACTGTATCTCTCTTTTAATATTTATTTTATTCCTTCTTGTATAATTGTTGTCTGTTTCTCTCATGCTAGCTACTAAATTTTAAACCATCTGTGGAAACAATTGGGACTTTCTAACTCTAGCCTCCTTGCTATATTTTACATAAAAATAGGGTACCATCTGCAACTGATTGATTTAGAATGATTTAGGCTTATTGATGATATAACATGTGCTAAGCTTGTGCTAAACATGCAGGCACAGTGTAGATATGCTATCGATTGCTTGATCTATATTACAAAATATGAGGAAACCACTGGGTAACAGTTTAAAGTCTTGACTTTTTCCAATTATAGAAATCAGAAAACCTATTATGAAATAAATCTTCTGATTTATCATGTCCATTTATTTTTAACTCAATAATCTTTTATCTGAGTTCTATGCCTTGGAAAAGCAGAGTAAGACTTTAAGATAATAAGAGTAAACTATTTAATTATTAGGCAAAAAAAACCCAAAATAAAACCATTCACCATTTCTCTCTAATATGAATAAATCCACTCAAAGGTATGCTTTTTACTCCCTAAGAAACTACCCAGAGATACATAAATGCATCCACTGATGCTCACTTAAAAATCACTTACTAAATACTGTGTAATACATTAAACCTCTTTACATATTTTATCTTAGGGCCTCAAGTTTATATCAGTCAAGTTTTTTCATCTGGTAAATATATATACCCTCACTGAAATTTTCTTGCCATATTTAATGTGTGGTAGGACTATTTCATTGCTTACTTTAGCCTAATTGTGCATTGTATCTTCCAAGCTTTACTGATACTCCTTAGATGAATAATAAGATGCTCTACTTGCATACTTGGAAAGTATTGGTCATTAATTTTATAATTATTTTTTTCTAGTCAGAACAAAACAAGAAAATTTCTCCCAATTCAGTTTATATAGATGTTACAAAACTCATTCCAAAATTTGACAGTAATAGGAAAAAATAAAAATGTATAGTCCTGTATTATTTATAAAATAGATGCAAGAATCCTAAATTGAACGCAACAAATACAATTCAGGAATGTATTAATTAACTACTAAATCAAAATACTTAACAGGGACTTATTCCGGAAAAAATACAAATAACTAAACCTTAAGAAAAATACACACATAACGTATACACATGAGGTTTATTCACATGCATATATCTGTAAGTTGTTTATTAATTCTCATATATTGACAATAAAGTTAACCTGAAAGCATATAATACAGTAGCATAGGTGGAAAAAGTTGAGAAAAACATTAACTAAAATAGTATATCCTTCAAATACATCTTAAAATACAGACAGATAACTTAGAAAATGACTTATTCTATACCTTGAAGAGACTATGTGAAAATGTCTTACAAAGTATTCTGAAAACTACTAATAGCCAAGTATAAAAATTGACAATGGCAATGAACTGAATATTTATAAAAAAATTAAAATAAAATAATACCATGCTAAAATTTACACTGTGTAGGATTAAAGACATTCTAAATAATGTTATCATTGTTATTCCATACTGGGAAAGTGATAATTCAATCAAATCTTTCAGCCTGACTCATTTTCAGTTATTGGCTTAAAGATGTTTCACCCACAGATGAAATTTTCCTTAAAGTTTATATTTAATGAGTACCTTGAACCAGAGAAAATAGTTGAGTCAATAAAACATTAATATGTGAATTTTAGTTCTAAATATGGGATTTTAAGAAGAGAAAATAAACCAAGTGGAAATTATCACAGTCTTGGCAATTGAAAACGAGAGAGATGGAATATAGGTAGCAAGCCCTCGATTATTAGAATAAAGCAAAAAGGGGACTATAAGAATGCTGAGCCCTTCCCAGATGCTGATCTCACCCTTCCACCTGGGAAAGAGGTGGTCAGACAGCCCAGACAGCTCCTCATAGTCCCAGGACAGCCATTAGCATCATTCATGCATGCTACTAGCCACATCTCTTTGATAGGATGCACCAGATAGGATGCACATCAACTAACTTCTGAATATAGTTCTGAAAAACTAACTTCTGAAAAACAGTGACTTGAATTGCTTTCTGTTTTGTCTGCTGCAACTCAGCTATTTTTCACTTTTTTTTTTTTTTGAGACAGGGTCTCACTCTGCTGCCCAGGCTGAAGGACGAAGTGCAGTGGCGTGATCATAGCTAACTGCAGCCTCAAATGTCTGGGCTCAAGTGATGCTCCTGTCTCATCCTCCCAAGTAGCTGAGACTACAGGCACATGTCACCACACCCAGCTATTGTTTTAATTATTATTTTATTTTTTGTAGAGATGGGGGTCTCACTTTGTTGCCCAGGCTTGTCTGGAACTCCTGGCCTCAAGCAATCCTCCCACCTTAGCCTTCCAAGCTATTTGTAATGTGGAAGCAAATGTGTTTCTATGAGATTGGCCAGCTCTAGCTAAGTGACTTCTTTAGAATTCTATGTCAGGAATGCTAATGTGGGTCTGTAAGAAAACTAGAAATAATAGTGGATGTTATAAAGTTTGCAAACCCTCTCTTTCTCTTCCTCTGCCTTTTCCTCTTCCTTCTCCCCTCTCTCTTTTCTTCTCCCTCTCCCACCTCTCCTCTATCTGATACACACCCACACCCACACACACACACCACAGGCACACAGGCACATGTGCACACACACGCACACACCAGCTAATGAAGAAAGCAGAAAGTGAGCAGGGAGAGAGCCAAAGGCCTTATTATCTGCAAATATGCTCACATGGGAGAAAGAATATTAAATTAAAACAAGTTCAGAGTTTGCATTATTATATTGATCTGGACATTGTATTCACAGAATTGGCGTTTTGTTTTCTCACTTTAAAGTGATTGCAGTCATGATCTGTTACCCTAAAAGGAACAGAAATCATAGTAAGCTAAAATAGTAATCCAAGGAAAGGGGAAGATTTTCTTCACTCTAAAATTGTAAGGGATAATGAGAGATTAAAATATATTTCATATTTTGAGCACAATAAACACTCCATTACATCTTTTAAGGAGATAAGCCTATGGGTTAGTGCTGCAATTCTCCAGTATTTCCTGTGCCTGGATGGGCTAATTTTATCCTGAAATTTGATATTGAAACAAAGCCATGCTTCAAATCTAAGTCATGCCCTACAGCCTAGGTTAGCAGTGAGAGAGCTGAAATAATTTTCTTATGCTATTTACCTTTTTGCCATACTTGAAAGCAAATGGATACTACTTTATTAAGCTTCCTGGATTGCAACAAATATTCATTTATTCATCTGTTTGTTTTTTAACAGTTTAATATCCAGTTTGTATATGCTCACTATCAGGAGAAATTTGGTGCTGAACATATTTTCAGCAAGGAGAAATTTGCCTTACCATTTAACTCTATAAAATAATGGCAATCATATAAAATAATGATGGTGATGTATCCCATGATAATCTTATTAAAATCAATTTTCCTTTTCTATTTATTTTATAGCATTTATGGCCACCTACTTATACACCTACATGCATACACATATACATGTGTGCATGTGTAACATGCATGTATGCTACATATCTGTGTGTATATGCATATATATGCCCATTTCTTGCCCATTTTGCTAATGTAATCTTCATGAAAGTAGTAATTGTTTAGTTTGTTCAGCACTGTAATATCCACCACTAGATCATGTTGAGAATCATGGTAGTAACTCTGTACATATGCAAGTAATAAATATGATACATATATATTTTATATATTTATATTCAAGCCATTACAGTTGATCCAAAAATAAAATGAAACTTATGTACTTAACCCAGGAGAATCAAAGCTTTTAACCTTAGCAGTTAGCATCTTATGCATTTCCATGCATTGTCAACCTCTAACTTCTTTAATAACTAGAATTTATTTATTGGATTAAAAATAACCACCATAATTTGAAGTTTAAAAAGTGAAACAAAGTTCATTTAACTTACTTATTATTGTCACTTTTAAGGTGACAACACCTTATTTCATGTTATCTCAAGAGTGAAACTGTTTTTCACTACACTTCTAGCATGGCTACACCTAATTCAGGGTAATCTCCTAATAGTCACTAATGTCAAATTTGCACAGGAAGCTGGCAAAAAGCAATTCTCTTCAGAGTAAAAGTTCACTTCCATAAATGCTACAGGTAATATATTTAATCAATATTTTTAATTTAAACAAATTTGCTCTGACAAAGGTTTGGCATTAGCCATTTCACGAACATTTAACCAGTCCTCAAACAAATCTAAAAAGAAATCAGTGTTGACATATAGCTCTTTCTTATCACATCTACTTGTTTTGCTTTAATTGGCCTCAGTCTCTAAATCAATTTGAGTCCAAAGCAGTTTTTAAATAAGCGTTTACACTGATTTTATCTTCTCTATTTTCATTTTGCATATTTAAAAAATATTTTTGTAATATTTAACTCTAATACTTCCTCAAATAAAATGGGCTTGAAATTAATTATGAAGTTAAATTTGTTACATACTCTAAAACTAATGGTGCAGCTACTATGGAAAACTGTATGAAGGTTCCTTAAAAAGTTAACAAGTGAACTGCCACATGATCCAACAATCCCACTTCTGGGTATATATTCAGAAGAATTGAATTGATATCTCAAATAGATAGCTGCATTCCCGTATTCATCACAGCATTATTCACAATAGCAAGATATGAAAACAATCCAAACATCTATAGACAGATGAACGGATAAAGAAAATTTGGTACATACATACAACAGAATATCATTCAGCCTTTAATAAGAAGGAAATTCTACAGTTTGCTACATGGATGAACCTAGAAGATATTAACCGGCTAAGTAAAATAAGCCAGTCTCAGAAGACAAATACTGTGTGATTGTACTTATCTGAGGTATCTAAAATAGTCAAAGTCATAGAAGTACTGAATAGAACGCCAGGGTGGGGAAAATGGGGAATTGTTCAATAGTTATAAAGTTTCAGTTATGCAAGATAAATAAATTTTAGAGATCCTCTGTACGACATAGTCCTTATTATTAACAACATGGTATTTTCTACTTAAAAATTTGTTAAGAAGGTAAATCACATGTCAACATTTTTACTCCCCACTTAAAAGGGAGTGAGACACAAGGAAACTTTTGAAGGTGATGGATATATTTATTACCTCAACTGTGGTGATAGTATCAAGAGTATATACATATGCTCAAACTCATCAAATTGTATATAATAAACATGAGCAGGGTTTTTTAAAATATCAATTATACTTCAATAAAGCTGTCAAAAAAGTGAAGGGTCTCTATAACATAAAAAATACAGCTCTAAAGAAAACTATACAATGGGCAGTTGGACAAATGCTATTATGAATTTTTGGATCTCTACACAAATATATTGAAGGCTTTCTTCAAAAATCACAAAGCAATGATATCACGCCCACTTTGATATTGATGAAAGATGTCACATGCCAAGAGGAATTTAACTACTTTGAAACTGAGTCTAGCCTTCCCTTGTGCTATATAAACACACTTAAGGGAAGACATTAATAATATTTTATTATTTTTAACAATCTTCAAGTAAATAAAGCTTATTTCCAGAATGAGTCAAATGATGACATCTGTTTATAACAAAAGTATAATTTTCAGGTTGAATTTAAAGACAAATCCAAATGAGCACTTTCACAAATCCCTAATTCTTTCATGATGATATAAATCATTGTGTTTTACTTGTTTATTTTTTAAAGAGCACAACGTAGCAAGAATATGTAGAAGTACAAGCAATATTCATATAGTTTTTTGAAATTCATTAAATGGGGGAATCATTTTACTGTACGAGGAAGTAAACAAAACAAAGAAATACATTCTACCATCATGATCTATTGATAACTATCCTTACATCATTGAACTACTTTGACTCTTCAGAGAAGTTCAGGTCATAAGAGGCTAATTACATCACTAATTGGAGGACCATTTTGTAAGACTTAAAAATAATTTACAACATTATATAAGTTTAAATAGTAATTGATTCCTGCTAATCATAGAAAATTATGAAAAACAAACTAATACTAGAACATACGCCAAATATTCAGAGTTGTTAGGAACATAGATTCTAATACCTTATTACTTGGATGAGAATTCCAGATAAGCCTAGCTATGTGCCTTTTATTAAACTTATTTACCTGTGATTTAGTTTATTTTTATATAAAAAGTGGGTAGTAAAACATACCGCATAGGACTGTGAGAATAAAATTAGATAATAAAGGTAAAATGTCAGCTTACATACACACAAACACAAATACACAGCTGTGTCATTTGATAAAATATACATAATGTTCTTTTTCCCTCAAAAATAAAACTCAACTGTATACTTTACTCAACATTGATTTATTTTTCATTTTAACATATTATGACTTCCTTATCACCATGCTAACTTGTCTCATAGGAAGCACTTTCTTATTTCAAAATTCTATGGATATTTTAATTCCAACTTTATGTCATTATAGAAAATGCAAAACTACATGTGACAAAAAATTGATCAGTGGTTACCATGGGCAGGAGGAAAGGCTGACTACTAAGGGGCATTGGATAAATTTTGCAGAAGTGGCACTGTTATATAATATGTTTGTGGTGATAGATACTCAACTTTTGTCTACGTAAAGAAACATACAACTTCAGAAGTTGTATATTTAGATCACTATTGTACTCTTAAATAACTATTGGATTTTTAAATTTGTCTTCATAATTTTTATATTTTCATATCTTTCTACAATTACTTGTATTACTTTAAAAATCAGGAGAAAACAATATTCTCTTGTTCTCTCAACTTTGCCTTTAGGGCTTAATAGGCAAAAAAAGAAAATAATTGTCCAATACTTACCTACATATGAAAATGCAGATTCTATTGTTAACACTAAGATAAATCTCTTCAATATTAGACATTTTAATCTTATAGATCTACATTATCTTGTGTGCAGAATCAAAATCAAAAGCAACCTACAGGGAATTTTGATGAAAGCTTGGATGGAAATTTGAAAAATATCTACAGAATATAACTAATGTGGCAGTACCAGAGGCAAAGAAGTTACCCTGCTATGAACATTTAGTCTTGCAATTTGCCAGAGAGATCCTGTGGTAGAGTATAAAGACCATGGAAAGCAGAGGGGTTTTCCTCCAATTCTGGCATTTTTATTAACAAACTGGCCAAGCAATTTTTCTGGACTTCGGTTCCCTACTATGTAAAATAAGATATTCAGATGATTTCTAGCTATTCCTCAAAGCTTAACAATGAACAGTGTTGAGATTCTGGTAAAACTAGAAACTCAGATAAATATTTTACTGAAAATGTGCCCTTAAAGAAAAAACATGGCATTTTCCAAAGACAATAAGACTCTCCTTTTAACTGGATCTGAATTAAAGATGGCACAGGTTTCTAGAAGTTCCTATGACCTCTGTTGGTGGGAGGTGTTTATTTGGCCTAATTTATTATTTCTCCTGTGAGCCAGTCAATAATTTATTAATGAGATTTTATTCTATTTTATTTTTCCAATTTTACTAAAGGAATAAATTAAAAGGAAGCCTAGCTAATGAAGATTACAGAGTCAGTCCTAAGTATCTGCGACAGATTGGTTCCAGGACCCCTACAGATACCAAAATCCACTGATGCTCAAGTCCCTGATATAAAATGGTGTAATATTTTTATAGAACCTATATACATCCTCTCTTATACTTTAAATCATCTCTATATTACTTCTAATACCTAATACAATGTAAATGTTATGTAAATCATTGTTATACTATATTGTTTATGAAATAACAAGAAAAACGTCTGTATACATTCAATACAGATACAAGCATTCACTTTTTCTTCTAAATATTTTTAATCCATGGTTTGTGGTTTTTTGAATCAGGGATGCAGACCCATGAATATGGAGGGCTAGCTGTATTGGATTTGCGAGGATTTTTTTTGAGGGAATTGCGCTTTTGAATAGGTTTCTCTTTCATTTGTCCTTGTATTAGTCAACAGGCTCTTCCATTTTATTAAATAATTTGCCCATGTTCTGGGACAAATACAACAGAATACACCAAAGGTAATTATTCACTTTTCACATTATCTCTTGGTTGCCACTTCTGTAGGGCCGTATACCAAGGTGCTCTTCAGTGGAAAGAGTGCCTCATTTTGTCATGGGCTTCTAGTTGTAGCCATGTGTTGTACATTCTATATTAGTTGTGTCTTAGGAATTTTTGTGTATTTACCCAAATGTTCAGTTGTATTTCTGGGACACTTGCAAATGAAGGGATATATGCAAATGTTATAGGTCTATGAGTTTATACAGAATGCACTGTTGTCAAGTGTAAAAGAAGAAACAATAAAACTTTTACTAAGAAAAAAGAAAAACATTTATCAATAGGCTGTTGAAATAGCTGACTTCTATTAAACTTGGACTTTCTTTATATAAATAGTGTAATCATTTCCCAAAATGTGTTTAAGGAAACTTACTCCTAATAATGTGCTGTATTCTCCATAACATTATCAGAAAAAAGTAATAACTTGTGCTTTAGGAAATCACGTAAGCAACTTTCACATTTATTTGTGAAGAGGCAAGTTGGTTCAGAAGGGTTAAGGGTCAAACCTTCAACTAAGTGATGAAATATACTGTTAAACCAAGAAAAAGTTTGGGTTGCCAAAATGCTTTAATTTGTTTATGAAAAGTAACCTAACAAAAGCATCTTCAGGTATAATTCCTACTATTATCACAATCGTTTTGTTTGATTCTGCTTATGTTTTCTCTGTTTACTTGCTTTTAGATAAAAACTTCTTTGTGAGTTTCTATTTTTCCGATTTTTGGATGTTTGCATGTTTTGCTTTTGTATTAGTCTGTTTTTATGTTGCCATGAAGAAATACCTGAAACTGGGTAATTTATAAAGAAAAGACGTTTAATTGACTTACAGTTTCACATGGCTGTGGAGGCCACAGGAAACTTAAAATAATGGTGAAAAATACCTCTTCACAGGATGGCAGGAAAGAGAATGAGTGCCAGTAGGGGAGATGCCAGATGCTTATAAAACCATCAGATCTCATAAGAACTTACTATTATGAGAACAGAATGGGGGAAACTGTCCCCATGGTTCAGTTACCTTTCAACGGGGCCTATCTACAACATGTGGGGCTTATGGGAACTACAATTTGAGACGAGATTTGGGTGGGAACACAGCCAAACCATATCAGCTTTGTTTGCTGGATTTTATTTTTACTATTTTATCATTATTTTTATTTTTTAAGAGGTGCTATGACTAGAATTGTTTCATTTTTATTTCCAATTTTCATACTATTGTTTTATCTTCCCATTCTTTTCAGTTTCCAGAAAAGCCAACAAAAATGTATTCTTAGGTATAAGTGTCAAGTTATCTTGTGGGATTTACAGTTAACAAATAATAGGCTCAGCTCTGATATGATTCATTTTCTCTTCCTTCCAATACTCAGTACTTTTTAGTTGATCCTCTTGGCCTGCCTAGTAAATTTCTAAATCCTTAGCCTAAAACTATTTAAACACTTCATAATTGATTTCAATGTATTTGGCCAGACTTATCTAAAATTTACTTTATGAGTCTTATACTCCATCCAAAGTTTTTAAAGTTAAATTTCTTCAAAATTACTGCTATTCATGACATTATATCTAAACTATCAGTGACTTTAACAGACTTATGAATTCACTCATTTATTTACTCACTCATTTAAGAAATATTTATTTTATTGTGATAAGAATACTTAACATAAGATCTACTCTTTTAACGAATTATAAGTGCACAATACAGTACTGTGAACTATAAGCACAATGTGGTAGAGCAGATCTATAGAATTTGTCTTATAAATGAAACTTTCTGTCCAATGAGTATAAAATATTCATTCAATACTAATATGGTTTAGCTCTGTGTCCCTTCCCAAATCTCATCTCGAATTGTAATCTCCACATGTTGAGGGAGGGACCTATATCCCCAGGTGTGGAGGAGAGGAAGTTATTAAATCATGGGGGTGCTTCCCCCATGCTGTTCTCTGATAGTGAGTGAGTTCTCACAAGATGTGATGGTTTTACAAGTGTCTGGCATTACCCCTGCTTGCACTTGTCTCTCCTGCCACCATGTGAAAAGGATTCTTGCTTTCCCTTTGCCTTCAGCCATGATTGTAAGTTTCCTGAGGCTTCCCCAGCCATGTGAAACTGACACTCAATTAAAGCTCTTTCTTTTATAAATTACCCAGTCTCAGGTATTTTTTCATAGCAATATGAACAGGTATTTGTTAGAAAATCAAATGGACATAACCACTGGTATTTTTTCTTCCAACTCAGAATGTTGTGTAAGAGAAAAGCTTTGTGTGGTAAGATTACTGGCAATTGAAAAAAAAAAATTTGTAATAGTTGAACAAGTCCATAAAAAATATCAGGCACAAGGGAGCATTTTCATGAGAGTATAGCACAATTTACAATAACGTACAAACTTAACAGAATATGTATTTGCCTCAACTTTAAGACAGTGTCTTGAGGTATATTTAATTTGTCTGTCAAAACTGAGGCATATTCACCTTGTCAATTCAAAATAATAAAAATAAAATCTATGGACAATGAAATAGATGTTCATGAATTCAAATTATTTTGAAATATTTTATTTTGCTACTTAGAAGAGAGGCTAAAAACTAAAACAGTGCTTTTGCAAGATGAAATTATTATTCCATAACCATTGACTTTATTTAATGATCTTAAATGGATTACATATGATTATATGGTTTGGCTCTGTGTCCCTACCCAAATCTCATGTTGAGTTATGATGCTCAGTGTTGGAGGAGGGGCCTGGTGGGAGGTGATTGAATCATGGGAGCAAACTTCCCCCTTGCTGTTCTCGTGATAGTGAGGGACTGGTTGTTTAAAAGTGTGTAGCACCTCCCCCTTCACTCTTTCTCTCCTGCCAGCAATGTGAAGATGTGCCTACTTTCCCTTTGCTTTCTGCCATGATTATAAGTTTCCTGAGGCCTCCCCAGAAGCAGAAGCCTTTGCAGCTCACAGAACTGTGAGCTGATTAAACCTCTTCTATTTATAAATTATTCAGTCTCAGGTATGTCTTTATAGCCATGTGAAAACTGACTATTACATATGATGTGGGACATGATGCCATTTTCCTTCAGCACACAATCAGATAAACATGTCACTCCATTGCAACAAGTTCCTAGTTTTTCAAGCCATGTGCTTGCCAATAAATCTCTTTGGGAGACTTTATCAGGTTTGATCAGTACCACTAGGGTGAATAATACCTTAATCATGCCTATTGGAGGTGTTTAACACAATGTTTGGCATCCTCAGAATGTGAAATGTTCAACTACTATCAAAACTTTAATTAACTGAATAACCCTGAAAATGTGTGCAATTTTCAGGTATCTGCAATATTTGTCCATACATTATAAATTTTATGTATCAAGGTATAATTTATTGCTTTCCAAACTAGTATGAATGTACCAAATACTTTCCCTACAATCCTGGAATTTTATACTGCATTAAATGGACGAGGAATGTTCATGTAATGAATACAGAAATAAAATAAGAAACTCCAAGCTATCCTCTATAATTTTTAAATACGTTTACAATGTACAAACTTTGATGGGCTTAAGTTCTAGAAAGTGTTGAAATTTTTTAAGAGAAATTGAAATCTCACTTTCTGAAAAATATTACCAGAAGGAAATTTAGATGTGTATTATTAATTTGGCAAAATGTTTGAGCATTTTAAATAAGGCAAATATTTCTATTCTATGGTCTGCAATCACTCTTACAGCTACCACTAAAACACCTTGAATTATTTTAGTCAAGTAACCAACATGGAAGGAGAGAATGGAAGAGAACAACTGGATGAGAATTTAAAATATGTGACTTTTAAAATTTTTTTTGAGATGGAGTCTCATTCTGTCACCCCAGCTGGAGTGCAGTGGTGCAATCTCAGCTCACTGCAACCTCCACCTCCCAGGTTCAAGTGATTCTCCTGCCTCAGCCTCCCCACTAGCTGGGATTTCAGGTGCTCACCACCACACCCGGCTAAATTTTGTCTTTTTAGTGGAGACAGGGTTTCACAATAATGGTCAGCCTGTTCTTGAACTCCTGAGCTCAATGATCCACCTGACTTGGCCTCCCAAAGTGCTGGGATTACAGACGTCAGCCACTGTGCCTGGCCAAAAACGTGATATTTTCAATGGAAGACAAAATAATTCATAATCTTGATGTCAAAAGTGCAAATATTTACAAGCAGAAATCTAAAGTCACTTGAGAAAATTTTTTAACATTTTAGGTAGTAAAAATGTAACACTAAATTTTATGTATTAACCTGATGATCATGAAATTTATGAATTTGAAAATGTAGAAAACTATATGATATGAGTTAAAATTGAGCCACAAGACTTCTATGGTTTCAGTTCTGACACACAGAGCTTGGAAATTGTCACTTTTGTCTTTGAAACAAAGAAAATCTAGACAAACTGAAAATCAATAGCTTTTCTTAGACCAAGCAGAGCATTGAGGGAGGGTAAACTGCCATCCCCAAATCCAGAGAGACAGGGGTACCTAGACAGATAAAGCTTACATCTGCTTGCCTGAAACAGAAGTCATTTGTTACCTGTTATATTTTATACTAGAAAAAGAGGTATATTGAAGTCCTAACTCCAAGTATCTGTGAAAATGGTATTATTTGGGAAGAGGATCTTTCCAAATATAATCAATTTAAGATGAAGTCATTAAGGTGAACCCTTAATCTGATATGACTGGATTATAAGAGAGAAGTAAATGACGTGAAAACACAGACAGAGGAAAGACGGTCATGTAACGATAGAGTCAGAGATTGCAGTCATGCTGCCCTAACCCAGTGGAATTCCTTGAGCTATCAAGATCTAGAAGAAGCAATGATGGATCCTTTTCTAGAGGTTTCAGAGAGGGAGGATGAGCTGCCAACACCTTTATTTCAGCCTTCTACTCTCCAGAACCGTGACAGAACAAATTTCCATTGTCACATAATTTATGGCAGTGTCAAGGCAGCCTTAGAAACACATAAATGGCAATTTTGGCAAGTAGCTAGTGGCTGAGGGTAGACTAACATGCAAGTGAGGAACTTTGTGGAGTCAGTCTTAGGGGATCCCCTCACTGTTTTGGGCTTTAGCTTGAGGAGTCTGGGTCGAATTTAGAAAAAAATTCAAGTTTTTCTAAAACTACAATTAAGCCCATAAAAGTTTGTACATTGTAAACTTATTTAAAAATTATGGAGGATAGCTTTGAGTTTCTCATTTTCTGTATTCATTATATGAGCACTCCTGATTCATTTAATTCAGTGTAAAATTCCAGGATTGCAGGAAAAGTATTTGGTACAGACGGCATCTTGTGAGGAGAATACTAGAAAGTTCTCACTGGGCTCTGGTAGCGAGAAAGAAACAGTAGTCATTGTGAAATACATCCAGAGCCTTGTTCATAACAAAGATCTACTCTTCAGGAGAAAAACTTTGCCAAATTCTTATTCCAGCTGAAGGAAGGTGATTCCTCTCACTCCATCCTCATGTAAACATCCTGTCTCATCTAAAGCCTAGAGGCCAGGCGTGGTGGCTCACGCCTGTAATCCCAGCACTTTGGGCCAAGGCAGGCGGACTACAAGGTCAGGAGATCGAGACCATCCTGGCTAACATGGTGAAACCCCGTGTCTACTAAAAATAAAAAAAATTAGCTGAGTGTAGTGGCACGTGCCTGTAGTCCCAGTTACTTTGGAGACTGAGGCAGGAGAATCGCTTGAACCCGGGAGGCAGAGGTTGCAGTGAGCCGAGATCATGCCACTGCACTTTAGCCTGAGTGACAGAGCAAGACTCCATCAAAAAAAAACAAAAACAAAAAAAGGCAGAGAAATGTATAATCAACAGGGATTGGTGCTTTCCGGAAATAAACTGGAAATGCTGCAGTAAGGAAAGGAAGTACAGAGAAAACTGAGGTAAGAACTACTCCACTGGAAAAACATTTGTGAAGAGTATAGTCCCAGGACACAGGGCCACTCAAAGACCAATTATTTAGAAAATAATAGCATGCCCTTCCCCCACACATACACCTCACTGAGACATCAGAAGGCTTCAGTATATTGTTAGATAACAGTTGAAAGGGATGGAAGGCAGTGACTCTCTCTGAGGAGTACTTGCAGAAGCCCAAAGTTTAGAAGAAAAGACAAAAGCAAAAACAGTAGAGGGATTGGAAGCCTCTGTGGCAACTTTGGCTACAACAAATATTAAACAGAGCTCACCTCTTAGAGTGAAAACATTCATCACATTAAAGTCCTCTTTACCTCCTTTTACCTGGTACGACATGTGGCTTTCAAGAAAATATTGCAAGGCATGACAAAAGGCAGTCATGACAAAGCCAAAACAGTATGGAGAGAAATAGCAATCATCAAGCTTCCAAAATTGATGAAAAGTAGACACAACTACATATTGTCTACATTTCCATCTTTGATTCACCTATTTTGATGTTTTGTTGTCAAATACATAAATGTTTACAATAGCTATATCGCCTTGAATAATCAATTTCTGTATCATTTATAGTTCTGTTATTTATCCCTAATAAAACTCATTCTAAAATGTGTTTGTCTGAAGTTAATATAGCTATTCTAGATTCCATTTGATTAATGTTAGCATGGTACAACTATCTGCATGATTTTCCTTTTAATCTACCAGTCTTTATATTTAAGTTGGTTCAAAAGCCAAATGAAATGAAAAATAGAAAACTTCACCATTATAATTGGAAATTTCAACACCTCTCTGTCAGTAATTGATAGATGATACAGGCAAAAAAAATCAATAAGGGTATAAATGATATGAATAGCACTATCAATCAACTTGGTACAATTGACATTTGTAGAATACTCCATCCAACAAAAGCCAAATACATATTTTTTTCAAACATTCATAAAACATAGCCTAATATAGAAACATTGTCAACCATAAACGCAGCTTAACACATTTAAAATAATTGAAGTAATACATATTATGTTCTTAGACCACAATTGAATTAAACTACTAATAAATAAAAGATATCTCGGAAACCTCTAAATATTTGGAAGTTAAAACACATACTTAAAAAAATAAAAACTTCTAGGGTCAACTCCCATATGAAGAAGCTAAAAAGTCATTACTCTCATCCTTATAAGAAAAAGATGGAAAAAATGAAAATCAATGTATTTTCTTGGAGCTATAGAAAGCTGTGCATGCAGAGCAAACTGTCACCCTGAAATCAAGCAAAACAGGCAAATCCAGAGTCACAGCTGAAATCTGCTTATTTGTACCAGTTGCAACCAGAGCCATGAACTGGTAAGAACACATAAATAGTAATTTTGATGAATAACTGGAGGCTTGAGTGTAGACCAGCTTGAGAATTGGATACTCTTGTGGGCCCACTATTTCATATGTTTTACATCCAGGAAACCTGTTAGGTTCTCAAGGTGGAGATCCAAAAAATTATTTCTGTGATCTGGCAGAGATGGGAAAGATAATTCTTCTGAAATACACTCAAAGATTTCTCCACAGCAAATCCTTCTCTACTGGAGGGAAGGCTTTACTAGAGCCTGTCTCAGAGCCATCAGGGAGATACATTTCTCCCATTTCCAATGCCATCTAGACTTCCTATTTCACCCAAGATGGGGAGATTCTCTACAAGAAAAAATACTGGTGAAGGGCACAGGCCAGATAGGCAGACCCACTAAAACACTGAGATTTAATTCAAATATTATAAAATGCACACTCTCCCTCATATCTTATTGGACAACAAACAGGGATCCAGTTTAATAATAGTAGACCAGAGCTGAAAAAGCTGCAAGACACAGACTCTCTCTGAATGGGAATACACAGGGAAGTGCAAAGTCAAGAGAAGAGGACAAAAGGACACTAGAAGAAATTGGAGTCCCTGGAACCTATAGCTGCAGCAAATATTAAACAAAGCCCACTCCCACCCATATTGATATAAATCTTACATATCTTGCACGAGATTCAAGAACCCTCTCTTGGGGTCTGGATCCAGACCCCTTTCCTGTATTGATATAAATCTTACATATCAGAGCCCTCTTTAGCTCAGTTCCTCATAAAATTTATCTGACTTTTGACAAAAAAGGTATGAGGCACACCAAATGTCAAAACAAAAATAATAATCATTGTAACCTAACTCAGATGTAACATAGATGTTGAAATTATCAGAGAAAATTCAAAACAACTATGACCAATATATTAAGTAGAAAACATAATAGACAACATACAAAAACAGTTGAGTAATGTAATAAAAGATGGAAATTACAAGAAGACTCTAAATGAAATGATAGAAATAAGAAAAAAAAAACAAAAATAAAGAATGACTTCAATGGGGTTATGAGTGGAATCAGCATGGCCCAAGAAGTAGTGAGCAAGCTTGGAAACTTGTTAGTAAAATCAAGTTGAAATGCAAAGAGAAAAATGAAAAACAATTAAGATCTAAGTAATAGAGATAATTTTGAAAGATACAATGTTTACATTATTGGAATAGGAGAAGGAGAACAAAGATAACGAAGCAGAAGAAATATTTGGATATTTGAATAATTGGAAAAAAAGTTTCAAACTTAATAATAGACAGCAAATACCCCAAAAAAACTATACCTAAGCATATCATATTCAAATTGCAGAAAACTAAAAACAAATAAAAATGTTTAAAGAGGCCAGGAAATATATATTGATAGGAACAAGAAAAACACTTCACAAAAAACTTCATGAGAAATCATGCGACATTCT
Source organism: Homo sapiens (assembly GCF_000001405.40). Lineage (NCBI taxonomy): Eukaryota > Metazoa > Chordata > Mammalia > Primates > Hominidae > Homo > Homo sapiens. Next base: position 31,463,964 of record NC_000009.12, read on the forward strand.
ATAAAACTGCTAACCAGTGCTTCTTAAAATATGGACTGCCTCCTCAAGGCCACCAAGATCTGGGATGTGGGTGACGGTAGGGGAAGAATTTAAAACGCCACAATACTCTCTCATTGTAAGGCAGCATCTTGTTTTTCAACAAGCCTTCTCTTAGTTGTGTTTGACTAGATTTCAGGGTTCTACAAAAGCTGATTTTGACGGTTTTGCCAGTTCATTTGCTGCTTTTGTAGAGGCAGAACCCTGGAGTTTCCTATTTCTCCATTTTGGTTGGTATTCCTGTTACAGGAAAGGGGTCTGGATCCAGACTCCAAGAGAGGGTTCTTGAATCTCATGCAAGAAAGAATTTAGGGTGCGTCCACAGTGCAAAATGAAAGCAAGCGCATTAAGAAACTAAAGTAATAAAATAATGGCTACTCCATAGACAGGGCAGCCCTGTGGGCTGCTGGTTGCCCATTTTTATGGTTACTTCTTGATGATATGCTAAACAAGAGGTGGATTATTCATGTCTTCCCTTTTTAGACAACATAGAGTAACTTCCTGATATTTCCACGGCATTTATAAACTGTCATGGCATCGGTGGGAGTGTAGAAGTGAGGATGACCAGAGGTCACTCTCCTTGCCATTTTGGTTTTGGTAGGTTTTGGCTGGCTTATTTACTGCAACCTGTTTTTACCTGTATTTTGTGCTGATCGCCTTTCTCATCCTGTGACTTAGAATGCCTTAACTGTCTGGGAAGGCAGCCCAGTAGTTTTCAGCCTCATTTTACCCAGTTCCTATTTAAGATAGAGTTGCTCTGGTTTACATGCCTCTGACATTTCCCCCTTCCCTTTTATAAGAGAACCCTTAATCCTAAGGGTTGCAGAGGGACAAGGATCTACCTTCTGTAACTTCTTCAGGCTGGGTAGGGGCAATGATATTCCTGTCTAATTATGAGGGTCTCTTGCATTCAGGGTAGAGAGGAGCTCAGTCAAATACTATCAATATGGTAAGATCCATTCGCAACTCTTGAGTTTTGACAAAAGGTGATACCTGCAAGATTCATAAGTGTTTAAGAAAACATTCAGTAAGCTTGTCCTGTATTCCTACACAAAGAGTATAATAGCAATGTATTCCACAAAAGTAAAGCAAAATAGGTAAAGCTATTCCAAGTAAAATAAATTAGAAGACTTTTCATGAACTGGGCAACTGTTGGGACTAAGCTGATATGGCATTGTTAGCTGATTGCAGTGTTCCCAGAATGAGAATACTGATCCAGATTTTCACATTATTCATTGCTTATGTTTCTTCTGAGCAACAGTCAGAGATCACTGGTTGGTTCACAGTAATAAAAAGGGTTAGCCTAAATTGCAGAAACAAACTTAGAAACAACTGATGAGACTAGACTCTAATAACAAGTATATGATAGTTTTTGAAACACAGTATTTCTCTCTCCAGTTTCCCGTTTTTACTAAAGACAAATCACGGTAAGACTGATTTGTTTTATTATACTTGGCCTAATTATTTGTATAAAGTGCAGCAAGAATAATTATTTTTCACATAAGCTGTTTCTAAATTGGCTTTGATAGAATTCTGTTCCATAGATGGAATTTCAGATAAGACTTTTTTAAAGCTGAGCCCAGCCATGGGTTTGTACCCTCAAATACCTATGAGTTGGGTAAATTTCTTTCCTCTTGAGGTGCCAAGATAACTAGGGGCTCCTGGACCTGCAAGAAAGTGACATTCTTTACTTACCATAGATCAGAAACCCTGTACAGGGACTGTGTAGGCAAGGTATGAGGCCAGCTCCACAAAGGGCTTTTATTAGCTCTACAAGTTAAGTTTGATTTCTTAAAGGAAAGCACACCATTTCAGTCAAAGCCTTGGTAAAATAGCCAATTTATTCTACTGTGTCCTGTTACAAAAGAAAACAGATTCTAATTGTCCTTATGCAAATAACTATATTGCCATAAGTTAAGAATACTTACAACTAGTTTCCAAATTCTGGAGAAATCAGGTAGAGAGGAACAAATATGCTCCAAATTTCATTTATAGGAGTATACTCAACTGTTAAAAGCTGTAAACAGCTCAAAAGAAAAGTTTCCTTGACTCTGAAAACCAAAACAAAGTATCAGCAATGTTTTAAGCAAATTTTAAAAGATTACTTCAGTTTTTTACTGGTTCAATGAATTTAGTTAACTCCTGTTTTGCTTGATATTTATGAATATTTCAGTTCTCCATCAGAGTCCTGAAACTTTTTCCTCTATTCTGATGTTAAAATCTTTAAAGTTATCAGAAAAACCTGCATTTAAGAACACCTGCTAGAGTTCTATAATTGATTATAAACCACCTTCTAAAGAGTTCTATAATTGATTAAAACAAGGTAACAATTGTCTGTGGCTGACAAAACATTTTAGGGCAGCCACAGTCAAATAAATAATTGACAAGGAAATTTGTTACCTCTGTGGCATACAATGATTTTATGTAATAATTATAATTATTACTGATAATGTACACCAAGTATATCAGAATTATAGGAGTTTCCCATAATTTTGGAATATATGCCAATAACACATTTATACAAATATGGCCCAAAGAAAACTAAACACCATTTTGTATTTGACAATGTATGATTTTTGTACCAAATAAGCCAAATGTCACTCTTGCTTTAGTGCATTATTGATGTCAAACCCAATTGTTAACAAAACTGTGTAAATAAATCTATCCAATCTCAATCAGTTTGACCATAAGGTAAGATTCTCATAAACCTTTATAATCATTTACAAGTTTTTGTTAAAGAGCAGATCATAAGCAGGTTTTTGCTCTAAGATAAATCTACTGTGCTTTTATTCCAATGTTTAATTTATAGAAAAACTGAATAATACCCCTTTAATCTAACCAATGTCCACACACAGAATCTCTTCTACAATTAATTTTTTACACATCTTCCACAACTGTTCAAACCTTTAGGTTTATTCTCTCTAACTTAAAACAATTATTTAAACCTTTAGGCAAAAAAGTGCACATTCCTGTGCCTTATAATATTTTACCAAAAGTACATTCCACTTTCCTTACACACCTTACACATAAAACTGTTTCTTCAATAGTCTCAATTATGTGTTACAATGTTAACTTTTAGCAACTTTTACTTTTGGCAAAAACTCTGGTTAGCAAGCAATTCTAATTATATACTAGGTGTGGAGCCTAGCCTAGAACACACCAGGGAGAAGTGCAGATAAGGGCTGTCTTTCCAGCATAGCTGGGAGCGTGGCTAACTCCACATGTCCCCAGGCCTTACCTTACCTAAGCAGGCAAGTTGTACGGTAAGAGTCATAATGGCATTTAATGAAGCATTTAGGAAGCCTAACAACCTTTGAATAGCGCAACATTTCTTGCATAAATTCCCGTTCACAAATCCTTTCACAACTTGCACAGACCATGTGAGACATTCATGGACTTTCTGATTTGCCCTAAATGTCCCTTCTTTTAAACAACCAGTGATTTTACTTTAGGGCCAACATTTACCTTACAAGATCCTTTCTTATATAAAATCTCTTTCTTTATAATCTTCTTGTATAGCCAGGGAGCATGGCTAATTCCACATGTCCCCAAGCCTTATCTAGAGGTAAATTGAATAATTTTTAAAAGTTAAAGATGCAGTTAATGACCTTAAAGCATTTAGCAAACAATATCTGACCCGCATCATTTACACTAAATGTTTTTATCAATAATTTTTAAAGATATTTTTATTTCCCAAAGATTACTAAAGTTACATGAACTAAAAGACATTACAGTTTTTATTTTGCTTTCAAAATATTTGATTTAAGCACTTATTTTTGTTTAAGCCAATTAATTGGAGCTCTTTTATATAAACATTACATACAACACATACACAGTTACACAGGAAGACAGAAGATTACTACAGTAGTTATAAGATTTTTCATTTGCCAGTTTTTAAGTTTCTTAATTGGATTACTGTCTTTAGGGTGGAGCCCTTGGAAGAATAGCATCAGGAAAGGAGTCTCTGTGCCTCCTGTTTTTCCCAAGGAGTCCAGGCTGTTAGAGCTTGAATATCTGCTTTTCATTAAGCTGATTTTAACCACAGCACTCTTTAATAAAGTGCTTTTAGAATTTCTTACGCCAAACAGCCAATATTTCTGGCTTTTGAACTCTACCAAAGGTAACCTCCCAGATGCTTAGAGAAAGGAAAATTTAAGGCAGTCCATGGAGGAGAAAAGAATAGGCAAGGTCACACAGGTACTAACCCAGAAACGACTTACTTCTTAAGTGGGGAAATGAACCCGAACTGCCACTGTGAAAGTACAAAACCATAGCTACTGAGCTACAGCATGGGGCAGTCTCCATTTCCTTCCCCAGAAGGGGTCTAGAATAGTTAATTTGGAGCTTGCAAAGTCTTTTAACTAGTTAATATGATTTTTAGCGCTAACTATGACATGAACCCTAAAATTCCGGTTTCCTAGAAGGCAGAGACCAAGAAAGTGTACCGCCACAGGGTTAAAAGGTCAAGCTCCCAAGGACATAAAACAAGGTGGATACTTCATGCAAATTTTTTGTTTGTTTCATGGACCTGCAGCCAAGTTTGTTGCTGACCAGCTGGCTGGGTCATCTTAAAAAGTGGGCTTACAGGTGTTCTAGGCCCATGTTTTATTCTGAAGTACCCCTTGACACAGAAAAACAAATTCACAGCACAAAATACACAAGCTTAAGACCAGCCTTAGAATTCTTTTTCGCATTAATCAAACTTTGCAGAGGAGATAAACACTGACTTTTTTAACCATTCATTCAACCATATGCAGAGAGAGAGACAAGCCAGGAATCTGACTGGTAAGAAATTCTTACCCTTTTGCCAGCATGCCAGGCTTCGGGGTTCCCTTTCCCTGAGCAGCCCTAGTGATCTGGCTTGTGGCACCATTGCTCTGGGGGCCAAGCAACATCATAAAGGAAAATAATTTTTTTTTTGTTCTAGCCAGAGAAAAATATGTGTGATAAAATGCAGATATTAACCAGTCTGCTTAGAATCCAATATCAAACTGGTAAGGATTAAATTTGCCCCCAGATGGGCCCCATCATCTTTCTAATCCAACCTCCGACTTGGAGTTTCAACACATGATCTCTAGGCAAGATGGTTGACCCGAGTAGCAAAAAAGATAGGAAAAGGAAATGAGAGAAAGAAAGTATTGCCTGTGGCAGGGTGGGGAAGGTGAAGAGCTTAGGGAGGCCAGAGAAAAGACCCACTCATTGCAGCCGACAATGAAAAGTTCAAGAGGCCACTTGTTGGTAGCAAAGGGATCTTGTCCAGTAGTCTGATCAGCTCTCAAGTTTCCCCTTTTAGTGAGGAAAAAACTCCCCATGTCCTGCGATCCTGTATACACCTAACCCTGTCACCCACAGACATCAGCAGAGTACAGGGCAGATTAATCCAAAGAGAATAGCGGTTAACATCCCATAGAGACGAACCTGTTCTTAGCTGAGGGACTTTACTGAGGGGGGCTCTAACCCCCTAAATCTTAGAAGGGACTCTAACTCCTCCATCTTAGCTGGGCCTCTAACTCAAACCTATTCTTTACCCTGGTACCCCACCACTTACCCAAAGTCATCCAGTCAGTGCTGCAGTCTACTTCCTTTGGGTCGGGAGGGGTCTCCTCAGTATTGTTCTTTTTGTGGTTCACAAGAAAATTGTTACCAGACCTCACCACTTACCCAAAGTTAGCCTTTGGGTCGGGGGCTTCTGCAGTATAGTCACTTCTGTCGTCGCCAGAAATATGTTACAGGACCCCAACACTTACCCAAATAGCTGTTGGGTCAGGGTTTCTGCACTATAGTCCCTTTATGGTTGCCAGAAATATGTTACAGGAAAGGGGTCCAGATCCAGATCCCAAGAGAGGGTTCTTGGATCTCATGCAAGAAAGAATTTAGGGTGAGTCCGCAGTGCAAAGTGGAAGCAAGTTTATTAAGAAAGTAAAGGAATAAAAGAACGACTACTCCATAGGAATAGACAGAGCAGCCCTGAGGGCTGCTGTTTGCCCATTTTTATGGTTATTTCTTGATGATATGCTAAACAAGGGATAGACCATTCCTGTCTCCCCTGTTTAGACCATATAGTGTAACTTGCTGCAGTTGCCATGGCATTTGTAAACTGTCATGGCGTTGCTGCCAGTATAGCAGTGAGGACGACCAGAGGTCACTTTTGTCACCATTTTGATTTTGGTGCGTTTTGGCCAGCTCCTTTACTGCAAACTGTTTTGTCTGCAAGGTCTTTATGACCTGTATTTTGTGCTGACCTCCTATCTCATCCTGTGCCTTAGAATGCCTTAACAGTCTGGGAATGCGGCCAGGTAGGTTTCAGCCCCATTTTACCCAGCTCCTATTTAAGATGGAGTTGCTCTGACATTCCTATCTCAGAAAATTTTGCCTAACCCGAGAAGCTTTCAATACCTTTGCAGAATGCATGAACAAATTAACAGTTTCTCAAGGTACATGTGTAAAGTAAATTGCCACAATTACCAAAGTATACTTAGTATAGAGGGAATAATAAAAATTTCAAAACATGAAAGAAAAAAAGTTCTAGAAATAAAAGTACTTTTTTTGTTGTAGTTTCTGTCCATATTTTATATTTAAAAAGATCCTATTCCAGTTCAACACTCACAAAACTTCTATCTTCCCTTATGTATTCATAAGAAAAACCACAAAATAATTTGAACCACTGCACACACAAGCACGCACACACAAGCGCGCACACACACACACACACACACACACACACACACACACACACACCCCAATCTCCAATAGGAAAGAAGAATGCCGGCATATACAAAACTTTGTTTAACAGTTAAGCGTGATGAACAAGATTTCCTTTTCCCTTGGATCTTTATCTTAATACAATTAATTCTCATTATTGGGGGATTCCATATTTGTAAAGTCACCTAATCAATAAAATGTATTTGTAACCTCCACAGCTATTTGAAGACATGCTCAGAGTGGGGGTAAATTTGAGTCATTCTATGCACACCTTCCCAGAGGAGGTTGACAAGGCAACACTTGCCTTTTTGTTTGAGCTCTCCCATTGTAATTATGTGTCCTTTCGGTAGTCTATTCAGTGTCATGTTTTCACATTTTTGTGCTTTTTGTTGGTGATTTTGCTGTTTACAGTGGCACCAAAGGATAGTGCTGAAGTGTTGTCCGGTGTTCCTGGCACAAGAAGGATGCGATGTGCTTTGCAGAGCAGACACGTGTACTCGATAAGCTTTGTTCAGGCATGAGTTATAGTGCTATGGTCTGCGCATTCAATGCTAATGCATCAACACTGTGGTACAAACAGAGACAGGAAGAGGAAATTTGCCAATATGTATGTGAGATTGCCTAAAATGTGCTGAAATAACACCTACAGTATGTGGCGAATTATGGAAAATATTAAAAAGTGGCTAAATGTGTAGATGCATGAGATGATGAGATAGTGAGATTTTTTTTTTAAAAAAAAGCATATTTGGACAGCATTATTGTGAGGCTGAAAGCCAAAATAATTCATGGTCACATTACCCAGAGTCAGGAAAATAGTAAACCTTTCTCTACTAGGGAAGGATGGCTTACATGTTTCAAACGGCGATATGATATGAAAAATGTTAAACTTACAAGTGAGGCAGGTTCTGCAGATCAGGAAACTGCAGAGAATTTTTAATACCTGTTTGGTGTTATACAGGAAGAGGGTTTTGGGGAAGAGAAGCCCAGCTTGTTTTACAAGGATGTTGGCAACCAAACCAATATAATGCAAATGGTGTTTCAGCTGACAAAAATGTTGTTGTTACAGTAGGTAGCTAGTTAGATATGAGCAGGGGAGGAGAGGGACCCCCTGCTTTTAAAATAATAATTGGTCCCAGCCAGCACCAGGGAAAGGCAGTCTCCCAATAAACTAAAACACCTGAAACTGGTGATCGCCAGCTTTCCAATAAGATCTCAGTAGCTGGGCCAGTAGGCTCAAGCATGTGCATTAAGAGAAAAAATGGCAGAGTTTAACTGGTATATGACCTCCTAGGGACATGTGACCCGTAAGGGAATAACACCTCAAGTGAGCATGCATACATCTCCAGAAACAGACTGCACATGCCCCTCTTCCAAGTGCTAGCAGGTCACTGCACATGCAGACAGCCCGGCCAAAGGGAAGAATCAGGAAAGAAGGAATGCAAAACCCCAAAAACATGCCAGTATATAAAACCCAAGACAAAAGGTCAAACTGTGCACTTGATCTCTGAAGTCGCCCGCTTGGCCCTCTTCCAAGTATACTTTACTTCCTTTCATTCCTGCTCTAAAGCTTTTTAATAAACTTTCACTCCTGCTCTAAAACTTGCTTTGGTCTCTCCTTCTGCACCATGCCCCTCAGTTGAATTCTTTCTTCCGTGGAGGGAAGAATTGAGGTTGTTGAAGACCCGTACAGATTTGCCACCACTAACAATGTAACCAGAGGCCTGCAAGAACCTAACCCTGTATTACTCCTTGGAGCAATAGTTGAGTATTCACTAATTCAGTATTCAGGGTGACTTTACAGGCCATGAATCCTGCAAATAACAAGATGTACATATATTGGTTGTATTTAATCCTATGTAGTATTAACAATAAAATAACCTTTGTCCTTTAATCAGAGACTTGATGTTTTCCATGATTAAATCTGTGGATTAACCGAATTGAAGCAAGTTTTACATCTGAAGAATTGTATTTGGCCAGGCACAGTGGCTCACGCCTGTAATCCCAGCACTTTGGGAGGCCGAGGGGGGCAGATCATGAGGTCAGAATTTTGAGATCAACCTGGCCAACATAGTGAAACCCTGTCTCTACTAAAAACACAAGAAATTAGCCAGAAGTGGTGATGGGCACCTGTAATCCCAGCTACTCGGGAGGCTGAGGCAGGAGAATCGTTTGAACTCGGGAGGCAGAGGTTGAGGTGAGCCGAGATCACGCCATTGCACTCCAGCCCGGGTGAGAGTGTGAGACTCAGTCTCAAAAAATAAATAAATAAGAATTGTGTTTATTTTTAGATTTTTGGTTGAAAAAAATAATTAAATAACTGTATAATCCTTCAGGGCTAAACCACTTATAACAAAATATTTCTAGTATTCAACTTGATAATAACAGAGCATTTCTCTGCTTCTACATTTAGTGCAATATCGCAAACATTCATGAGTACTTAATTATTATCAATTATATTGAGTTAGTACTGTAATGAGGTCTACCAATAAAACTGGGGACAAAGGAAGGACAATGTAAGGCTTTGTGCATTGTTAAATAGAAAAGTAAAGTCCACCACAGCTTAACTATTCAGAGGTGACACTTGATTTTTCAGATTTCTATAGAAATAGACGATCAACCATGATTTCTATATGCATGTTTTCCCTGTTCTGATTTTTTAAATAAATGGTTTTGTGTTTTCTAACAAGAGATCTTGATTTTCTCACTTAATCATTTATTTTGCATTATGTATTCCAGACTTTCTTATTCTTATGATTTATGAACCACACTCAAAATTAAAGCTATTTATCTGAAACATGCCCTGACTTCCAGAAAAATTAATCATGTCTCCAGAAAGAAATCTCATTGATACAAAGATCCCCTTTTTCTCTTGACAACTCCAGAGAGTACTGAATCAATTTTCCACACTGTGCAAAGAATAAAGAGCAATGTGCAAGTAGAAAAACAATTTTAAACACTAGCTTTTCTGCCAATTCAGAAAAATTTTAAGAAACTCCTCATCATCAGAGGGAAACAGGCATGTCTGAGAATATTTCCCTCCATGATAGAATTTGCCTAAATAAAATCCAAACTCATGAAAGCAGGGAATTCCTACTCTTCAAGAAGTGGTAAAGTTAGAAACTAAGAAGAATATACGTATGTCAGTCGAAAAGTAAAATATCAATGATTTGGGGGAATATTTTCTCAACCAAATAAGGGGGAAAACAGAATTGATATCATAATTTTTTAGCACACTATGGATAAGCATTTCTAACTCCTAGAATATGTCAGAATAGACAGGGAACTCACCCTAAGAACATACATGTTTGTGAGCAGGTGAGAGGAATGAGGGGTAGGGAGGAAGAGTGATAAAAAAATTTGTTAAAAAAAATTTTACCATTACTTTCAAAAATCAGATTGTTATATTCCTTATATAACAGTGGCTTGTCTACACCATGACCACCTTCAAAGACTGAATACAACAGTATATTTATAGTCATTTACTTTTGCTAAACGAGCATAGATGTATTATGTCATTCATGATAATTGATGGGTCCATTCACAGGGATAAGTAGTTACTGTTGATAAATGGGAATATCAAACAAGAGTAGTACATTAGTGGCTGTATTTTTTAGGATTCACTCAGAGACACTGACTACTAGGCCTGACCCAGTAGACTACAAGGAGGGATTAAACCTTATATGATCGTGGGAGCTGGTTAAGCGGTCTGTGTCACTCTGCTGCACCTGAGTGTGGTACAAGGGCTGAGGTAGCAGGGCTGGCAGTTGGGAATAGACATGATGTGAGAAAAAGTAAGAATACAATAGTACAAAATAGAACCCACAGGAATAAATGAACCTATGAAAATATAACTGAAACCCACACCTTTCTCTGGAATAGAAATCAGTCACTAGTCACCTGCAGGTCTTCAACTTGAATGATGCAGGTAACCGACAGAGAAGTTGGCACTGTCCATCATGGAACTGCACAGGAACCTAGCCTAGGACTGTGCAAAGCAGAAGTAGGAGATCTGTAGTTACTTCAGGGGCTGCAGGTCCGGCTGCCAACAATGGGAGCTGGCACATCCTCAACACTTTGTTTGAGATGCAGCATCATCTAACCCTACACTGACCTTGTGTAAGAGAACATGATACTGCTTCCATTTTATGTTGCAAATTTGGGGAAAGTTTCTCATATTTCACCTAGATTTATGTAAGGAAAAGAATCCCAGTAAATGAATTTCCAGTTTACCTAAACTGACACAATATAAAGCCACCACAACAGCCTCTTGGTTCCCAAATTTTATAGCGTACTATATTCAGCCTAGTTTTCCCTATATTCACTCAATATTGTCAAGATATTATTCAAGAGACTTTGAGTCATTGTATTTCTGACTCAATAAATAATTACAGCTATTAATTATATTAAAAAGACTTTGGCTACTCTTGCTCAGCCACTGAAAGGTAATTCCTTTCTATATAAAAAAATTTTACAAATACCACGTGTTTATATACTTTCTTTGCAAAATTAGAAGTATTTAAATACATAGTTAGGGATCTTCTTTTTCACTTTAAAATTATGTTTTAGTAACTATTTTTCCATAAAAAATAATTTGAAAACACGGCTTAATACTCTCCATTTTATTTCATAATTATGTAGCATTGTTTTCTTAACAAATTCTAGAAACTTAGAGGATTTTCAATGTTTAACATTATAATCAATTATGTCATGAATAGATTTTTGCACAGATATGCACAAGTATGAATCTTTAATTATTACCTTAAAATACATTTCTAAATGTTGAATTACTGGACTAAACAGTCTTGAAAATATTATGTTTGTCACACTTGATAAGTGTTTTAGAGGGTCTTGTTAAGTGTTTCTCTTGATAAATATAATCACGTTGTTCCCGGAAAGGACTGTCTACACAAAGTGACTCCTGAATGCCAAAGGAGTCAAGAAAGCAAAGAACGAGACAGACAAATCCAGTTTGTTGGTGTTGAGTGACTTATGAAGGGGAAATTACAGACAGAAACATGTTCTCAGGTAGCTGCAAGACAGATAGATCTCTGTACCACAAACCCCCAGGCCAGGGTTTATATCTTGAGTGAAAAAGTATCCATGCTCTGGAAAGAATGTGTAGGTGGCTGAGAGAATGATACAGGTGTCAAAAGTTCTGAACTTCTTCTTCTGATTTTCCTCCATACTTAGAAAAACTTTGTTCAAACTTAGACAAATTACAAATAAAAGGAAAGTAGGAAGGAGAAAAAAATCGGTATTTCTTTGTAACTATATATTCTTATTTTTAAATTCAATATTCTGAAACAACAGTGGGAGCTGGTACATCCTCAACCCTTTGTGAGAGCTGCAGCATCATCTAACCCTACACTGACCTCGTGTAAGAGAACATGATACTGTTTCCATTTTATGTTGCAAATTTGGGGAAAGTTTCTCATATTTCACCTAGATTTATGTAAGGAAAAGAATCCCAGTAAATGACCTTCCATATGGAAGCTGGCTGTTAGATTCAAGGGCTAAAGTAGGAAACACAAACTTCTTCACCTTCATTATTCAGGTGCTCAGGGGTTAATCCATGTCATGAGACGCAACAGGCATAGCAACAGCTGTTTTACTTATTCCCAAGTGATCAGGATTACAGTTAGTGAAACTTACTTTCAGATTCTGAAAACATTTTAAAATTCATCTATTTGTTTCTCTGTATTTTACAGGTTTTGGAGTAAGTTGAGAGAATCTCAGTCAAAATCTTAGTAGTTTGATTGAACTACTAATCAAATTCTGTGTAAGTACTACTAGCTACTTCCATTTTAATACCTCATAAATGTGCCCATTTATTTCTTACACTGACAGGCCATAGGAAATCTCTAAACAATGGTTTACAAGCTGCATTATGTAAAGGAGCTAGAATAAAGCAATAAAAACAAATTTAGATGCTACAATTTCTGCTAAGGTCAGGGTGCCCTTTTAAAAATAACGCATGTATTTAGTATCAAATTAGTATACATTTATTGTAGAAAATCTCTAAAAAGACAAAAAAACTAAAGAAATCACTCAAAATTCCACTTTCCAACAAAAGTATACTTGAAATATCTCTTTCAAGTGTTTTTATTTGCACATTTTACATAGCCATGCACCTACACATACAAATACTGATAAAATATATTTTTATTATAAAAGGACATGCAAACCTGAGAAAATTTAGAAATATCAACAAATTTAAAGCAAGCAGTTTTCAATTTTATATGCATTTATAGATATATGTATCACAGATCAGCCTTCTACACAGTTCATATTAAATCTTATTCTATTCTTTATGTGTTTTCTCCTTATCCAGTGTAAATTTTATACTAACTCATTCGCTAATATTCTGAAACTTTTGTCTCATAATTACACTAACTCATTTGCTAATATTCTAAAATTCTTGTCCCTCTGTTTGTTGTTGTTACCTCCATTTAATTATGTGCAAGTCTCTTGTATATTTGAAGACTAAGTCCTCCTTTTCATTTCCATCCCAGTTACTAGCCTGTCTTGCTTCTTACTATTATAGCCAGATTTCTAGAAGTGTCACACTTACACTATTCCCTCTCCCTCTATTCTTCCTCAACTTATTGCAGTTTATTTCTAACTCTTTAAGAGATCACCAGAACTTCTCACCCAGAAGTTACCAGGGAGTTCACGTTCATAAGGGCAGTGAATATTTCTCTGTACAATCTTACATTAACTGTCAGTGGCCTCTACTATGCCCTCCTTCTTTATCAGTGGCTTTCAAGAAGCTAACCATGTCCTTCTTAAGACACGCTTCTGCTCTAGCCTTGGTGGAAGGACCCTGTCCTACTATTTCCTTTCTTTTTGATCACCCCTTCTCAGGCTGCTTTGCTGACTCATTAGCTTCACTTTGCTCATTTAATGTTGAGGTTTCCCAAGGCTCAACCCTAAGCTCTTTTCTCTTTACACTTATTTTTTTTTTCTTTCTGGTCAATCTCAGCCACACATTTATTTGGAAATTCCACCTCTGCACCAATGATTCCCATATGTTTATAGTCCACCTGAACCCACCATGTCTTGTATTCACCCAGTTGAATTTTTTACTGGGAAAGGAATAAGGTGGTTGGTTGTGAGAGCCTTGTTTTACAATTCAAAAAGATTCCTTCCCATGCAGTCATAAGACAGAGCTAAATCATGCCCTTTGTAGCAACATGGATATAGCTAGAGGCCATTATCCTAAGGGAGTTATTAGGAATAAAACACCAAATACTTCATGCTCTCACTTATAAGTGGGAGCTAAATATCGAGTACTTATGAACACAAAGACAACAACATTGGAGACCACTAGACAGGTATATCAGTTGATTCTCAAAGTGCTATAAAGAAATACCTGAAACTGGGTAATTCATAAAGAAAAGAGGTTTAATTGGCTTATGGTTTCACAGGCTGTGCAGAAAGCATGGCTGGGATGGCCTCAGGAAACTTTCAGTCACAGTGGAATGGGAAGTAGGCACGTCTTATATGGCCGTAGCAAGAGGAAGAGAGTGAAGTGGGAGGTGCTTTGCACTTTTAAACAACCAGATCTCATGAGAATTAACTATCATGAGAACAGCAAGGGGGAAATCTGTCCCCATGAACCAATCATCTCCCCCAGGCCCCTCTTGCAACATTGGGGATTACATGAGATTTGGGTGGGGACACAAATCCAAACCACATCAACAAGAAAGGGAGGAAGTGGGGTAAGAGTTGAAAAACTAACTATTGGGTACTATGCTTACTACCTGGGTGATGGGATCAATGGTACCCCAAAGCTTAGCATCATGCAATATATCCGTGTCACAAGCCTGCACATGTACCTCCTGAATCTAAAATAAAAATTGAAATTTAAAAAAAAGATTATCGGTATTCTATTCCCTTGGAACACAGTGTTCTTCATATTCTAAACTCCTGAGTTTTCTGTCAACTTTTTTTCTCCTTGAGCATGTTTTCAAGTTTTTGTTTGTTATTTTTTTCCAAGAATTTAAAGCTGGTATATTTTGGAGCACTTACATATGTGAGCATGTATTTCATATGCCATCAAAAATGAAAGAAAAATTTTAACCTGCAATTTTTTTTCTTTCTGAGATGCTCAGATAAATTTCCTTAATCTTATAATTTAATATTTTTGAAGGTTTAATGCTAGATGTGATACAAATAACAAATGACTGAAAAGAATTCATTGAGTTAACTCATTACTTTCTTCCCTGAGGTAGCAACTTGACTGTTGCTGAAAAGGCAATAGTAGAGTCCTCATGAAACTTGCCCCTACCCCCCATTTTACCTTCGTGCAGATATCTGAGAGTTACAAAGGGTACTGAAAACTTCATTGAGAAGTAGTTCTATAATGATGCCTAAGCGCAGGCCTAATTATAGAAATATGAAAGTCTTTATGGAACATAGAAGTTCATAACACAGCAGTTTTCTAACATCAAATCATTTTTGAAATGGTTTACTAGTAAGAAATGCCAGGACAAACTTTAGCTACAAAGAAGCAGTGTTTCTTAGACCGTTATCATCCCCCCACCCCATGAAAAACAAAAAAACTGATCATTAAAGTTAATCCTTGGTATAAGGATTCTGAAAAAGCAAAAGAATGTAAACGGTGAAGCAATTCCCTGTTGAACTCAGCCTTTGCTTTCTTCCACCCATTTTATGACACTGAATCACTGAACTGCTAAACTTGAATTTGATCATCTATATCTCCATATTAAAATCTTTGAGGAAGACACTAATATTATTCTAGTCAAAAACAAGTTTTCTAAGAAAATAATGTGAAAATATTTTGAAGAATATGGCAGACATATATCAACTTTTCTCTTCAAACAATAACGTGTTACTAGAAAACCCAAACATAGGAATATGTGAAAAGAATTCCTAGATAGAATCAAACTATGGAAAAAAATGATTAAACTTAAAAAGAAGTAAGAGTGTATTATTGAAAAATATTATTGAAAAGAGATATCAGACTTAAACAGTATTTGTTTTATGTTCTCAGAGATTTTAACTAAACACTATACTCAAGATCAAGGGAGAGTACATATCCATATTTATGTCTATGTATACCTATATCTGCACCTCTAACTAACCTATTTATGTATGTGTACTTCTCCCTCTCCTCTCTCTCTCTGACTCTCATTATATATCTAAAAAGTTAAGAAAAGAATTTTAGAAAACCAAAATAAGGTGGCATCAGAGAAAGGAATTCTTCAGATTTAAGGCTACTGTCTTAAAATCTGCACAGAAGAAGAAATAGAGCATGGCATACCAAGTGAAACAACAGGGACAAAACATGGAAACAGGACTAAGATCCCTGGATTTTGACTCTAAATGGTTCTTTTGAAGTAACCACTGATCTTTTTGGATTACCATATTAACAGAATAGATGAAGATAGATTTGACTTTGTGCTTTTTAAAATGGAAAATAAAATTTTACAGAACAAAGAAACAATAGCTCAAATCTGTTTGATTTAACATATTTTCTAAAATAACACCATGAAATGGACACTTTTAAAAAATGTGATTAACATCACAATCATTATAGAGGGGATGTACAACAGAAAGTGTAAAAATAATTAAGTAAATCTTAAGATATTATAAACAAAGGACAAAGAAGTAAACTCATTTAAAGAGAGTAGTTACAAAATTTAGACAATGAATGTTCATTACTTGGATAAAAAGTGTGGAATAAGTGAATAAATAGGAAGTCATTTAGAAATTGCAGTAATACAACCCTTTTCTAGGCTGAAGGCTGGAGTCTCTACATCACAGACACTTGCAAATTTTTATGAGCAACTGACATGTGGAAGAACATTTTTTCCTCTTTTGGTTTGCTTTTTGGTATTTTAAAAGTAAAGAATCTTATAAACACCGATGATTTTCAAAATCTATTAATAATAATCAATGTTATCTACAAAGATAAATAGAATTATTATTATCTATAATATTGAATCTCAGCAGATAAATGAGCAATAACTAGAAAGTTTTGTATTAAACTAAATGGGCCTACAGTCTCTAATGATCCAATCTCTCTTTTACTTATCAAGGCAACTGAAAGGCCTTCTCAGATATGCAAGTACTCAAAGAGATGCCAGCCACAATTATTTTCTAAACTTTTGTGACAAGAAAATACTGTTAAAATATATCTACATGATTTCACATTATATGCGTGTTTCTACCAAACCAAGGCTTCCTCCTGAGAAGATGAAAATGGAAGTTTGGGGCGATGAGCAAAATCTAGAATTGAGTGGAAATGAGGTTGATTGGGCAGCAGGATGAGAAATCAGTCGGGGGCTGCATAATTCCTTGTTGTGCAAGCTGTGTAATTTTATACTTTGTCAACTTTTCCACATCTCAATTTGCATTAGTTTGAAATAAATAACTTAATGAAAACGCATATTTAATCTTTCAAAAGAAGAAAAAAACGCAACATTTATTTTTATTTGTCTATCCAAATATCACAGACTTTTCAGTGGCTAGAATTCAAATGAATATTTTAAGTAAAGGAAACTGCAAATCTTTCAATCAATATGAGTTCTTTAGATCTTTAAGATAAGGAGTGTGGTTTCCAGAATTGGTGATGTGCACTTATGTTGCACTTGCAAAAAAGTAACTCATTTTCTTCCAAGATGTTGAATGAGCTTCTACTTTATGCAATAATATTTCTGCTGTGTCCCTGACACATTCACTGGAGACATTTGTTGGAGAAGTGGCTATCAGAACATTTGAGTTGTGTGCGTATGTATTTGCTGTTTTATCGCATTATGTATTTTAACCTTTCTTAGTTAAAAAGTTTTCTGAGATATAATGCTTCATATGTTATTTATATTGTTAATGATACTACCACTAACATTTTCTTTATTATTTTTCTTTCCATGTAATGTTTTGAAAGCCATCTCTGAACTTAAAATTTAAAATATACCCATGTTCTCTTCTATTTCTTTTAATGTTTAATGCTAATATTTAATTTTTCATACAATCCTATTGTAGATAAACTATTTTCCGAGACAAACAACTATAATATAATAGCAAGTATATTTAATACTTACTCATCATTTGCTCTGTTTAAAAGCTTTGCATGAATTATCTCATTCAAGCATGTCTTAAGTGATTATTATTATTAGCCCTATTTTACAAACAATATTCTGTGGCTTAGAAAGGTTAAGTAATTACCCAAAGCCACAATGAAAGAGAGTTTGAGTTAAAACCTTACCAAAAACTTTTCGCGTATTCCTGTCATTTTTTAATCCCTAACTTCTTTAACACTCATTTATTAACAGATTTTGGCATTTTATTTACAACTATATTTACTTAAATAATTCAAAATGTCAAGATAATGACTACATTTTTTCTTTACAATTACAAAATGATATTTAGGTAACAAAACAGCAATAATTGAATAAATTGTGTCAAAGACAACTAAAAATGTAAAATAAAATCTCCACATATGTATTAGTCCATTTTCATACTGCTATGATGAAATACCTGAGACTGAGTAATTTATAAAGAAAAAGAGGTTTAATGGACTCACAGTTCCACCTGGCTGTGAGGCCTCACAATCATGGCAGAAGGCAAAGGAGAAAAAAAAAGCACATTTTACATGGTGGCAGGCAAGGAAGCATGTGCAGGGAAACTGCCCTTTATAAAGCCATCAGATATTGTGAGACTTTTTTACTATCACGGGAACAACACGGGAAAAACCTGCCCCCATGATTCAATTACCTGCCACTGGGTCCCTCCCACTACACATGAGGATTATGGAAGCTGCAATTCAAGATGAGATTTGGGTGGGGACACAGCAAAACCATATCAACATATAATTGATTTGTGCTGTTTAGCCACAAAAATGTTTTAAATATTCAGGCTATTTCCACTACAGATAATATACGAAACAAGGTAAGTGGCTATTTAATATACTACCTGGCCAGAACTATTTAAAGACATATTCAGTAGCAATTTATATATAAATATTTTATATAATTTTGCATTACAACATTTCATTTTCCTTTAATAGGAGAGAGTTAGATTCCTTATAGACAAGAAAAAGGATGCACTGGGATCAACCCAGTTTGCATTATAATTATTTTCTTCTCCTACTACTATTTTCTTCATCTAATATATCTTTGCCTTTTTTTCTTGTATTTTTCAGCCTTGGCAATACCGTTTACTTTTATATCATATTTTGCTCTTGTCTGTCATACACTGAAATCTTTTTTCATATTTTTTTCTTTGTTTAAGCAGCCTCTTTCACAATGAGACTGCATGCTGTCTAAAGAAGTAGTTTCTTTGAAATGTAGCCATTGACCTCAATGCTGCCTCTTAATTTGGGGGTGATACTAAGAACAAAACAAGAAAATTGTTAAAAAAAAAAAAATGCTCACTGGATGCACTTGTGTCCTAGTAGTTCCTTTCTGTTTCTTCAGGAGGAATATAGAATTTCACTTCACTGTTCAAAATATTCCTTATCTACTTTTACATATTCCAAGTTTACTTTTCTTTAGCAACCCTGGTTTTCTACAATGCATATGATGACATTTGCCTCCTGGTTACTTAACATCTCTTTGACCACTTCTTTTCATTTATAGGAAATTTTAACACCTATATGATAAAGTTAAGAAGATATGTTTTCTGTAATAACTGGACAGAAATACTAATTGTCACCTTTATAATTTATAAATACCATATTTGAATAACACACTTTCTTAAAAATGTAAACGTATCTCCTGAAAAATAATATGCCTTTGAAAGCCTGTACTAGAGATACTAACCAAGGTTTATTACTAATTCATAACTGCTTTTCTTTAAAACTCATAAATTATTGATTCCATAAGAGGAATGTGGCACATACAGACTGCTACAAAACAATGATATACAAGAACACTATGAGAGAGACAGAGATGCACAGGGCTTGCTGGGAGAAAAAGAACCCCACCCCGGAGCTTACAATGATTGAAAAGAAGAAAGAGAATATGACAGAAACCACCAGACCACTGCAGAATTCAGGGAAAAGAGGACTAAATGTTAATATAATTCAGTAAAAATAGGAAGAAAAAATGATGGTTATAGAATAGAGAATTTTAGAAATACAGCCTGTAAGATTTAGTAACCTCTGGTACCCAATAGTGTGGGCTAGAGGCTCAATCTCAACAAATTAAGGAGGGGACTGCCATGGCCAGGACCTGCCCCAGGATGCTAGGAGTGAAGGGCACCAGGAAGCAATCAGGTAGGTCTAAGGGGTCACAGAGCAGATGGATGAGAAATTATCAGAGAAGGCAAGAAGGTGGCAGGAGGCAGGCCCTTGGAGTCCAGGCTCCAAGCCTCAAGCACATATTCCCTCATCCAGTTGGATTTCACTTACGAAGTTCAAATTCAAAGAGAAAATCGTTAAGGATTTGGAAGTGAAAACTGCAGGACCTTAAGCCCCAAGTAGAAAGGCCCTTCTGAGCTTGGGGCCCTGTGCAACTCCACTGGGTACGTCGCCATGATGTCCTGGTGCTGGACAGTATTCTAGGTGATATATTATTGACCAAAAAAGGGACAAAAATAACCCTCACCAGCATGAAGTTTATACTCTCCTTATTGGTCAGACCTTCAACAAAATCAGTATATTTCTAATAAGTTCAAAGATGGAAATTTCTATAAAGAAAAATAAATCAAGGAAGGATATTGATTGCCAAAGAAAGGTGGCATAAAAACAGTAATAGAAGAACAGTAACAGAAAAACAGATTTTTTTTTAAATCCTGATAATAAAATTATCAGGAAATTATACTGCCATAGTGCGGGATAATTTGAAGTCACTGTATAGAGTCCTGCTTTGGGTGACTTTTTATTGTATATGATATCAAATAAAAGAAAACTATATTGCAAACAATATCAAATAAAGGAAAAGCATATTGCCTAATGATATAATGTTTATGCATATATTTAATTTGTAGAGTTTTTAATGCTTTCTGGGATTTTATAATTTTTCTCAATGAAAAATGATGTTCTTTTTTAATGTAATCAATTATGTTTGATCTTTGTCATTAGATAATAAATGAGCAAGTTTCCTAAGTAGGACCAGGGTACACTAGAAACTATGAAAAACATATTGCTATGCCCTCTTCTGCTCCTCCAGAGACATCGTGTTCCTGTTTCCCTTATTCTACATCTCTGTATAAATGTATGTCAGGAAGTAGCTGGTAATATTGAGCACTCCAAATAACAAAGGCATGATGAGGCTTAATGTGTTATCATGCAGTGAGTATTTGCATAATTCGTTTAATATTTTTACTTAGACTTATTTATTACAATATTATGATTTAATATGTCAAGTAAAACAACAAGACATTTTTATGAAAACTATTCTTCTCACTACCCCTTTCTCTTCCTTAGAAGTCACCTCTTTCAATTCTTTTAGCTAATAATTTGGCATTTGTCTGTATGTTTCTAAATAAGATATTTACACAGCTATTTCTTGGTTTTCACTTTCCAAAAATATCTGGCATGGATGCAGCTGGTTTCTTACATACCAAACTCAAAAACACGTTTCCCATTCCTCCATTTCCTCAACTGCATTATGTAATCATGGTTGTTAAAGGCAGTTTTTGGTGTCAATGTCTTTATTACACAAGTAAAAGTTATTGCGGAAGCACATCATGATTCAATTTGTTTCTATATACAACTTATTTTCTTGCAGTAATAATTATTTTTGTTTTGTTTGCATTGTTCTTTGTATCTTAACATACCAATAACTGATTCCTAAGCTGCCCTTCATAATTATGAACTTCATCTTAAAACATTAAAAACCATCACATATCCTATTAGACATTTGTTTGAAAACATCCCTCCTGGAATCTTCTATCTTCTGCTCAAATCTTAGCTGCTGTTTTTCCAAACTCACTGCAAGGCTGTTATCTCACTCTTCATTTTCCTTCTTTGGAGATTCTCTCTTAGCTGTAGTTCTAGCCCCTTGTTTATGATAATACATTTTCCTCTTTTAATTCATTATCTCATTTTGACAAAGTGCCTCTTTCAGTGGCGTCCTTGGAAAGGGTGTAAGGAAGGCTAAAGGAGTATTTTGAATATCCACAAATGTCTCCAATCTGCTCTTACAACTATTTCTATTAGGCCAACTACAGAATTCTAGGTTCAAAACAGATTGTAATTAATTGCTCCATTGTCTTCTCTAGTTTCTAGTATGGCTTCTGGAGACACTCAGTACCATTATGATATGGCTTTTTAATCAATTCTCTAGACATTTAATTTCAATCTGAAAGTGCATGCTCTCTGTTCTTCAAAAATTGTTAAAAGTATTTGATAAGTGTCCCCCTTCCATTTTCTCAGTTCTCTCTGGAACTTAATTTTTCAGATGCTAGGCCTCCTAAATTTATTTCCTAATTTCATTTTTTTTCTTTTACTCTCCATCTCTTTGCTCATTTTTCTACTCTTGGAAAAATATCTCAGTTTTATTTTTAATTATTTCATGTTTTGATTGCTCAAAGCCAATTTCCTCTAGTTTGTTGATACAGTGAACTTTCTTTTGCAGGTACTGTGCAAGATTAGTTGCCAGCTGTACCAAATGTAAAACAGAATCAGGTAACAAACAACATCTTCCACAAATTTTCAAAAAACCTCCATTTGCATTTCCACTTGCAGTGATCCTTGTTGTCTTCTACATCTGAACATTTCTGTGGCCAGGTAGTGGGTTACCTCTCTTCTGCATTCCCGTGACTGCTAGTTTAGATTTCAAATTTCTCTAGCATTTGAAGTCACTGAATACTTACCTGTTTTCCCAGTTCCACAAATGTGTTGCAGTCATACCCTCTCCCATTCTCTTGTTCCTGTGGGTCTATTCTTTCACTGTAGTAATTTCAGTAAGGATTTGGAGAAAGCAAAGGTAAAAGCACGAATTCAATTCTTTGTGCTCAACAGAATGTCCTGGTACTTAACTCTCTATTTTTGGATTTCAGAAATAATTCCTCATTTAAAATAACTATGTTGCAGATCCAAGATGAATGGCTAGAAGCAGCTAGTGCATGCCTCTCTCATGGAGAGGAAACAAGATAGCAAGTACTTATTAACTCTTCAAGTGGATCATCTAAGAGATCATGCTGGGCTTCACCAGGGAAACAATGGGAACTCTGGAGAGCAGAGAGGAGTAAAGCCAGGCAGCTGCTGACCCAGGACCAGCACAAAACTGGGGAGGCTCCTTAATGTGGGTAAAGGGTGAGTGAGTGAGAGATGCCCAGGGATCCACACCTCCACCACAGACCTCATTAATCCTAGGCACAGGAGAGCCCCCAGATCTACCATGGGCCTCTAGACCAACACAGAGAGCCAATTAGAGCCGGTGCACAGGCACCACTCAAGTCTACATGGAACACCACAGGGTTTTGATCCCTGAGTAGCCCAGCACCAGCTGCCACCACCCTGCCAAAAAGGGAGGCCAGGCACTTTTATGCACCCCCCCAGGACAGATGCCACAGCCAGGGCACTGAGGAGCAGCCAGACTGCATACCAGGTGACTCCCAACTTCCACTGCTCCCTGCCAAATAGGGCTTGCTGGCTTGGGCTCCCAGTGCACCTGCCCCACCCCCACCAGAACACTGCTCAGTGCTCCTCTGAGAGTACAACTCCCAGAGGTTGCTGACAAGCCCTTTGCAATTTTGGCCACTGCCACTGCCTCCACTCCTTCCACTCCTGGCCCAGGAAGGGAACAGGGAGGCTGAACACTTTTGCATGGCCCAGGTATAGATGCCGCAGCTGAGATATGGAGAAGCAGTGGACTGACTGCAAGCCCCATGATACCCTACCTCCACTGCTCCCTGGCATATGGGTTTTGCTGGCTTCAGTGATAGACCCTCAATCCAGTTTGTCAGTCCATGCCTGAATTGTATGGTCACAGCTTGGCATTCCTCTGAGATACCAACTCCTAGAGTTTGCCAACAAGCCTTTCCCTGGCTTGGTAGGTGCCCTTACCCACCCCAGACCAGGGAGGAAATGTTGAGACCTGTCACCTTTGCATATCCTCAGCAGCAAAATCAGTGCCACTTCTGTGGAGGGGAAATGGGAGCATGCTATGTGCTCCCGGGCTGTGCTGAAATATATTTCCTGGTACAAGAGCGTTTCTTAAGCTCCCCACCCCTCCCCAATTTCCCAGGAGCAGGACCAAGAAAGAGGGAGGGATAAAGGATGCTTCTCCCAGCTAAAAGGGCTCCCTGAAAGCCGCCTTCTATGGTTTCCTTATCTCATATCGGTTCAAATTTTGTCTCAATGCCATGTCTAGATTTAAGAAAGACTGGGAAGTAGTGTCATTTAGCTGAAAACATCAAGTCCCTAAGAAATATTGAGAATCTGCTACTAAAGAAGAAGGAAATTGATATTACGTGACAACTATTATGGCAGCTTTGGAAGATGCTTTCTTCCTTCAGCTTTTTCCACTGATGGCTAATCTGTAAACCTTCATATTTTTGCCCTCTTATTTTCTGCCTCTGTGGCTTCCTCTTCCCACCTTATCTTCATATGCTTTCCACTTCCTTACCTAACTATAATATAAAACTAATGTATCCTTTATATTATTTACTATAACTTACTTTACGTTTCCATTAGCTTTGAAAGTGGTGAGCCTGATTATTTAATAATTTTTCATCTAAGGAACTTGATAAACTGAATGATTCTGCCTTTGCTTTATATAATTGTCTTATCTTTTGCCTCCCTTTTGGGTTAGGTTAGCCATAAAATAAAGACAATCTCTGACTTTTTCTGATAATACGGTGAGAAATGCCTGGTTTCTTCTCCTTCATTCCCTTTCCATATATAACTTTTAACCTCTGTGTTCATAGCTGTGAATCTTCTTTGTCTTTAAAGTGTTAATTCCTGTTTGTGAATTCCAACACTTAATCATATGTTAAATAAAATGTATCTTTTCACACTTGAGTTTTGTCTGTATGATTATGCTATTATACTAATTATATGCTTCTGAAAATATCTTGCAAAAATTGTAAGGTGTGTGGAGTAATAATGTATTATCTGCAATTTCAGAGAAAATAAAAACAAATTTTGTGTTATTTTAATCATATATAATTAAAGATTAGCAGCTGGGTAAAACATCTAGAAAATTATATCCAATCATTCCTCCCTATAGCTGTGGTTGTCGAACTATAATGTGCATAAGACTTACTTAGAGTCCTTGTTAAAACTGGAAATGCATAGGCCTCATCTCTAGAGACTCTGATTCAGTAAATGTAATGTGGGGCCCCCAAAACTGCATTTTAAATCAGCACACAAAGATCTGCAGATAGAATACCAGTTGTGATCTAAGAGAAAACAGAATGTGGAGTGATAGACCAAGGCTATAGGTGCTAAAACCAAATAAACAACAGAAAAAGAAGAGGTCAATGCATCTATGTTAAAAGCCTCTGTATTTAAGAGAATATACATGAGAGGAAAAGTGATTATACAGTAACTTTCCAATTTTGAGATGAAATTAAAGGAAAAGGGAAGATAATTATGATTTTTTCCTAAGAGAGAAATTAAAACCCCAATACGGCTGGGCACGGTGGCTCACACCTGTAATCCCAGCACTTTGGGAGGCCAATGCAGGTGGATCACCTGAGGTCAGGAGTTCAAGACCAGCCTGGCCAAGATGGTGAAACCCTGTCTCTACTATGAAAAAGATTAAATAAAATAAAAAAATTAGCCAGGCATGTTGGTGGGCGCCTGTAATCCCAGCTACTTGGGAGGCTGGGGCAGGAGAATTGCTTGAACCCAGGAGGAAGAGGTTGAAATAAGCTGAGATCACGCCACTGCACTGGGGTACAAGAGTGAGACTCCGTCTCAAAAATAAAAATAAAAATAAAATAAATAAAACCACAATACTATCATATGTAAAATGTCAGAGGTTAACTTATACCAGTATAAAATTTGGCAGACACTGATATTATATAACTGATCATAAACTATAAGTAACTGATTACTATCAAATAAGAACAATATAATGATTAGATTGATAATACAAAAAGATAATGGTTAGGTTGAGGATCATCGAAAGACTATGCACTAATTTCTACACTATGTAAACAAAAGTTTAGTTTTTAAGATTTCTACTTCTGGAGTCAGTTCTAATATCTACTAGCTATATTAACTTTAACAAAGTCTAGCTTATCGACTATTTCTTTCATGGATTGTGCCTTTGGTGTTGTATTTAAAAATTCATCTCCATACCCAAGGTCATCTAGGCTTTTCCCTACGTTAACTTACAGAGGTTTCACAGTTTTACATTTTACATTTAAGTCCATAATCCATCTTGAGTTAATTTTTGTTAATGGTATAAGGTTTCCATCCAGATTCTTTTTTTTTTTATTTGCATATGGATGTCTGGTTGTTTCAGCATGATTTGTGAAAAACAAAAACATCTTTGCTCCATCATATTGCTTTTTCTGCTTTATCAAAGATTAGTTTACTATATTTGTATGCATCTATTTCTGTACTCTGTATTGTGTTCCATTGATCTATTTGTCTATTTTTTACAAAAGTACTATGTTGTTTTGATTCTGTAGTTTTATAATAGGTTTTGAAGTCAGGTAGAGTTAGTCTTACAACTCTGTTCTCCTTCAATTTTGTGCTGGCTATTTTAGGTCATTTGCCTCTCCATATAAACTATAAAATCATTTTGTCAAGACCACAAAATAACTTGCTGTGATTTTTATTAGGATTGCATTGAATCTATAAATCTATAGATCAAGTTTGGAATAATTGACACCTTAAAAATATCGAGTCTTTCTAGTAACTATATTATAACAGATAATTTATTTAAGTCTCAGCTGTGTCAACATAAAATCAGGATTACATGTTAATAAATGCATGAGGTTACGATGATGACTAAATAAGACAATGTAGGTAATGTATGTCTACTGCATGAATGTTCAATATTATTATACTTACAACACACTCTTTCATATTGCCCAAAGTTGTGACTAAGAAATAAACAAGGATAAATTCAAATAATAAATTCTCGTGTTCTACAGCTACTGGGTCAGGGGACGATTGCTGAACAAAAGCTTTGTCTAATCCTGTGCTAAGAACATTTTCCCCTGGAGGGATCCATTTGCCTCTCAAATCTTGGCTGTCTTGAGAAAATTATTTGGAGTGAAATGCATGTGGAAATGAATTAAATCCTCTGACCATGGATTGCCAAGATTGCCTTCCCTGTAGCTACTTAAAACTGTCACTCTCTCATACATGTAATAGCGCCTAGAAAAGGAAAAAGGCTTAGATCTCTTCCAAAGGAAAATCCTCCATTCCTGCATCTATTTATCTGAACCCCAACATTGTCATGGGTTTCCTTGGGCCTGGGAAGATTAACTGAACAATTATATCCCTAACTCTTTCCTGCCTACAAACTTGGATTCAAAAATAGGAGAGAATATGTATTATTTTATCTCATAGCTGATCTGTAGCTATGAATCAACTGAATCTAGTTTACTTGTCATCTTAAAGCAGGTACAAATTATCCTATTTAGTTTCATTTTATGTTTCATAATTGAATACCTCAATTAGCTAGTTGCTAGAAGGAGATAGCAAAAACTAGAATAGCAGAACCATCTGGGTTCATTCAGTGTAGGATATCTATAAATGTCACAAAAATTCAATGGCTGTCATTGTCATCCCTCTGCTGGTGGCAACCAAATCTGTATTTCCAGCCCCAATATCTCTCCTGAGTTTGAGATCAATGGATTGAATTGCCTCCTGGATTTCAAACTGCTACTCAATTAATCATTCAACCATCCCCAGAGGTGTTCCTTCCAGATTGGTTTTGAATACATGATATGGTGATGACCAGTTACCAAGCCCTACACTTATTCTCTGTCTACTTTTTAATATCCACACTAGCAGTCCTTAACTGTGGTCCCCTTCACCTCTTGTCCGGATTGCTAAAGCTTCCCCTTAAATTATTTCCTTTCACTCTTTTGCCTACTCCAACTTATTTTCTATATTATCAGTAGATTGATGTTTTAAACAATTCCAAAATTCTCCCTTCTATGGGTTACATCTTCCCATGACTACAGATAAAAATTAAATTTTATTTCCTTGGCATTGTACATTTTAGTGTGATCTTTGTGACCTCACGCCAGCTTAACTATACGGTTTCATCTGCAACTATCATCAAAGCCCACTAACCAATGGCCACCACACAAGTTTAGTCAAAGCTATTAAGGTTTATTGCAGCTTCCTGCAGCAAGGGAGAATACACATCAGAGGAACACAGCGCTTTTGTCAAAGAAAGTTAGGAGAGGCTTATGATAATATTCCGACATGTGCAGAGAGATTCTAAAGCAGATTTAGAGAAGTGCAGACAATTCTGGATAGGATGTTGTCAAGTACCAGGAACAAGTCAATGACTGGATATCCTTACATGTTTTTTAATCTGGAAGACAAGGCATTCAAAGTGGAGCTAAAATTATCACTAGTAAAGAAACAGTAGTCACTTTTGCTTGCCTTTGGAAGGGGATGTTTAGTTACTGTGATTGCAAGGTAGGTGTCCTTTCTTTGTCTTATTCTAGTGTGGTCACAGAGTGGCCTTGCCTGAGTATTGGTTCTATTCTAAGAAAGTTGTTTATGTTTAGTTGGGACAATTAAGGCAAACTGTTAGCTTCCAGCAGTGAGCTGCTAGGGTCATTTTTCACTTTCTCACTACCCATGTCTAGTTCTACATCCGGGTCTACTAAACAATTTGCAGCCCCTTGAAAGACTTGCATTCTTTCTAATTTATGAGTCTTGACAGAAGCAGTTTGGAAAGCTTGAAAAACATCCACTGCACTTTTTCCAGGATTTCCTCCTACTCATTCTTTAGAATTCTTTCCCCCTTCTTATGTGTGTGCACACATGCATTAATATATATTCAAGAAAATGAGTATATTCACATTATTTTACAAAGAAAAAAACAAATGAATTAAGTAAAATAAAGTGATCTTTAATTCATTCATAAGCCATCTCATTCTTCTTCCCAGATTTAATCACTCATATTGCTTATATAATTATAGGATTTTTTTCTATACACGCTTATGTATAAATGTAGTTTTACTCACTCAATAACACACATATTCAAATGCTTAGAATACAGTTTCTAATGTTGTTTAGCATGCTTTTTTAATAGCCCTTAAGAATGTTTTGAAAGTGTCTATATGTTTATCTATATCATTCCCTCATCAGAATGCAATATCATGGGTCTCCTCGGTGCCTGATGAATCTCAATAATGCCTGCACAATGCTGGACACAGAGTAAGTCCTCTTGATAAATGTATAGGGAACTGTAATAGAATGCTATAAACTACTTCCATAGGAAACCAAATTATTAGAAATCTCCTCTTATAAGCATGAACTCAGAGTCAAGGGAGTTTGTTTTAGAAGTCAACTAATATAGCTTCAGGCCCTCCCACTCATTTTGACATGCATATTAAAGTTTGTTTCACAAAGATTCCACTACCCCTAAGCATTCTAGAATCAGCATTTCCAATGTTCCCTCCATATCAACTCCTCTGTGGAGTGTTTGTGCTCACAGGCCTCCTGCAGTACATATTGGCTTACTTTATATTGTATATGAAACAACAGCTTAGGGACTCAATTGTTCAATCACAACCTTGTTATAGAGTTTACACCTTTGATAATTTCAAAATTTATCTTTTTGAGGTTAGGGATATTCTCAAATTTTTCAGGCAGAAGGCTTAAAAATATAAAGAAATGATGTACAGTTTAACATGTCTTCTCCTGTGACATTTAACATATTAATTGGCTCAATAGAGGCTGGGCTTGGTGGCTCACACCTGTAATCCCAGCACTTTGGGAGGCCGAGAAGGGTGGATGGATAACTTGATGTCAGGAGTTCGAGACCAGCCCGGCCAAAATGGTGAAACCCCATCTCTACTAAAAATACAAAAATTAGCCAGGCATAGTGGCACGTGCCTGTAATCTCAGCTACTCCAGAGGCTGAGGCAGGAGAATCGCTTGAACCCAGGAGGCAGAGGTTGCAGTGAGCAGAGATGGCGCCACTGTCCTCCAGACTGGGTGACAAAGCAAGACTCCCTTTCAAAAAACAGACAAATAAACGAACAAAAAACAACAAAAAACATTAATTGGTTAATTGAAATTTTGATCAGAACCAAAAATAGGCAACTAGAGATAGCCTCTTTGAAGTACAGATATTCAGTATCACTGACTTTTTATAGATCCACATTTTTTAACACTAGACATAAATTAAAACATTAAGGACTTTTAACATTAATTACACATTTTATAATATTTAACCTCAATGAATCAATATGTGGCTGGTGTAAATAAGGGCAAATATCAAATACTGATATGGAAATCAACAGATTTGTTTATATAATTGAGCAAGGCTGTTCAGAATTTGAAACTCTAGAATATACAAAAAAAAATGAATTGGAATGGTGTGTGTGTGTGTGTGTGTGTTTTCATGTGTGTTCACAGGCAGAAAATATACAAAACAAATGCTATCAATGTTTGCTTTTGAGCATAATGTAAATGAATGAATTTACCTGCATAATAGAAAGACTGACATTAGAAAATATATTTTCCCCAAACTAAATTAATTGAACTATTAGATAAAATTGTTTGAATTATTCAGATAAAATTTCCCACCTGAAAGAAATTTGAGTTTGGGATAAGATTATATGAATAACAACCTGCATCAAGAATTCCTTAGTAATTTTTTGGTCCCCTTAAAAACACGTATATCTCCAAATGCATTCTGAGTTTGGGGAATAGAATTGAACTCTCTTGGAAGTTAGAAGAAACTTTGTATCTTGCATTATGCTGGCTTATGCTGGCGAATGAACTATGTCTTGCTGTAAGTAATTTGTTGAGGACATAGGAGAAAGTCATATCCACTAAAGGAAGATTATATAATCACTGAAATATAAAAGGACTTTCTCTTGTTAGCTATGAAAGACCAAGATTAGAATAGCAAAATGTTCTATGCAAACTGTGTCAAATGCTGAAGAGCAAGCTAATGAATTGTGGGATAATTATGCATGCTTTTATAAAGAATGTGAGATATTAAAGGCTGGAATGTGATTAGAACATAATTTTTCCAGATTTTAAGATGTTGTGTTTTAATCTTTTAAGTTGTTCTACCAAACTTCTAGTTTTCAAACATGTATTTCAAATGCAAAAGAAATAATTGTTTCAAAATAAGAATAAGATTATTATTTTCAAGGCTAACACCTTGAAAATATAACACATCAACAACACAGGGAATCTTTTTTATTTTTCTAGGACTGAACTTATACCCAATTAAGCTAAAAGTTATTAATTTGGATTTCAGGGGGTTTAATAATATATTTAACAATATTAAGCTATTTTTATCCACATATCTTTTGTGGAGATCTATTTTAAAAAGACATTATTTTGCCAGTTCAACTATTCTACAGATAAGACTTTAAAATAACTAGTCTTGACTTTGAAATAAAATTCTCCAAATATATGAGAAAATAAAATATTCTGAAATAAGAGAAAACATTTCTATTAATTATAATACCTGGAATAAATGCATTAGGATACACAATGTTATTTATAAACTAAAATTCACCAGAATACTATTGGCAGTACAATAAAATTCAAATTATCTGTCAATACTTTAAATTGTACTAAAGAACCCTGTTCTACAATCCAAAATCTCAATAAACTTCACAACCACTTGCTAATTCAGTTAACACAATGTCATTTCAGCAAACTCTAAAAAGGGTGGTAAAATTATGACAATAATTATCATATAAACCTCAGATCAGGGCATAGAGAATGAGCTACATTCTCTCACTTATAAGTCTATTAACAGAATCCTTTAGAAAGCTAAGAGGTTAAAAGTAAATTAACAACAGAAGGAAGCCCAATCTAATGAGGCTTTGAAATGTAGGCATAGCTCACTTTCCTCAAATAAAAATCTATATTAGTCTATTTTCATATTGTCATAAAGAAATGACTGAGACTAGGTAATTCATAAATTAATGAGGTTTAATTGACTCACAGTTTAGCATGGCTGGGGAAACCTCAGGAAACTTGCAACCATGGCAGAAGGAGAAGAGAAAGCAAGGCACCTTCTTCACAAGGCAGCAGGAAGGAGAAGTGCTGAGCAAAGGTGGAAGAACCCCTTATAAAACCAAAAGATCTTGTGAGAACTCACTATCATGAAAGCAGCCTGGGGCAAAGTGCCCCCATGATTCAATTACCCTCCACCTGGTCTCTCCCTTGACACATGGGGAGTATGGCAATTATAATTCAAGATGAGATTTGGGTGGGAACACAAAGCCTAACCATATTGTTCTGCCCCTGGCCCCTTCCAAATCTCGTCTTTTCACATTTCAAACAAATCATGCCTTCCCATCAGTCCACCAAATTGTTAATTCATTTTAGATTTAATCCAAAAGTCCAAGTCCAAAGTCTTATCTGAGACAAGGCAAGTCCCTTCTGCCTATAAGCCTGTAAAATAAAAAACAATTGAGTTACTCCCAAGATACAATGGAGGTAGAGGCATTGGGTAAATGCTCCAATTCCAAAATGGAGAAATTGGCCAAAATGAAGGGGCTACAGACCCCATGCAAATCCAAAATCCAAAGGGGCAGTCATTAAATCTTAAAACTCCAAAATGATCTCCTCTGACTCCATATCTTACATCCAAGCCACGCTGATGCAAGAAGTAGGCTCCCATGGCTTTGGGCAGCTCTGCCCCTTTGGCTTTGCAGGGTACAGCATCTTCCTAGCTGCTTTCACAGGCTGATGTTGATTGTCTGCTGCTTTTTCAGGCACACAGTGCAAGTTTTCAGTGGACCTATTATTCTGGTGTCTGGAGGATGGTGGTCCTAGTCTCATAGCTTAAGTAGGAAGTGCCCCAGTGTGGCCTCTGTGTGGCAGCCCCGACCCCACATATGCTTTCCACACTGCCCTAACAGAGGTTCTCCACGAGGACTCTACCACTGCAGCAAAGTCCTGCCTAGATATCCAGGCATTTCCATACATCCTCTGAAATCTAGGCAGAAGTTCCCAAACCTCAGTTCTTCACTTCTGCACACCTGCAGGCCCAACACCATGTGTAAGCCACCAAAGCTTGGGGGTTGCACCCTCTGAAGCAGTGGCCAAAGCTATACGTTTGGCCCTTTCAGCCAGAGCTGCACAGCTGGGGCATGAGGCACTAAGTCCCGAGACTGCACAAAAGAACAAAGCCCTGGCCCAGTCCATGAAACCATTTTTTCCTCTGAGGCTTCCAGGCCTGTGATGGGGCAGGGTGGGGGGGCTGCCATGAAGACCTCTGATATGCCCTGGAGACATTTTCCCCATTGTCTTGGTGATTAACATTTGGCTCCTCTTTACTTATGCAAATTTCTGAAGCAGGCTTGAATTTCTCCTCAGAAAATGGGTTTTTCTTTTCTATCACATCATCAGACTGCAAATTATCCAGACATTCTCTGCTTCCCTTTTAAACACAAGTTCCAATTTCAAACTATCTCCCTGTGAATGCATAAAACTGAATACTTTTAAGAGCACCCAGGCCACCCCTTGAACACTTTGCTGCTTAGAAATTTCTTCTGTCAGATAACCTAAGTCAACTCTCTCAGGTTCAAAGTTCCACAGATTTCTAGGGCAGGGGCAAATTGTCACCAGCCTCTTTGCTAAAGCATATCAAGAGTCACCTTTATTCCAGTTTTCAGCAAGTTCCTCATCTTCATCTGAGACCACCTCAGCCTGGATTTTATTGTCTATGTCACTATCAGCATTTTGTTCAAAGCCATTCAACATGTCTCTAGGAGGTTCCAAACTTTCCCCTATCTTCTTCTCTTCTGAGCCTTCCAAGTCTCTGAGAGTTCTAAACTTTCCCACATTTTCCTGTCTTCTTCTGAGCCCTCTGTTCCAACCTCTCCCTGTTACTCAGTTCCAAAGTCACTTCCACATTTTTGGGTATCTTTATAGCAGTACCCCACTCTCTATGGTACCAATTTACTGTATTAGACCATTTTCATACTGCTATAAAAAACTATCTGACACTGAGTAATTTATAAAGGAAAGAGGTTAAATTGACTCACAGTTCAGCATGGCTAGGGAGATCTCAGGAAACTTACAATCATGGCAGAAGGCAAAAGGGAGGCAAGGCACCTTCTTCACAAGGCAGCAGGAAGGAGAAGTGCTGATGGAAGGGTGAATAGCCCCTTATAAAACCATCAGATCTTATGAGAACTCTCTCACTGTCATGAGAACAGGATGGGGCAAATTGCAATCATGGCCCAATTATCCTCCACCTAGTCTCTCTCTTGACATGTGGGGATTATGGGGATTATAATTCAAGATGAGATTTGGGTGGGGACACAAAGCCTAACCATATCAAAATCTAACATAATATGAATAGTATAAAATAAGTAATATGTATCGAAAAAATTAATACCATAAGTAAGCATATTACAAAGTCATTGGGCAAACCAAAGGACAATTTAAAGTGCAAAGCATGCCGCTGGGGAATTGAAACTAACCTTGAAGCCACTTGAACCAATCCTAGCTCTAATTAAACTAAATACAATTCTCACTAATAAAGCAAGGAAAACTGTCACTAATAACTATACCAAATTATTCCATATGGTATGGAACAGAGAAATCTAATTTAGATTTTAAAGAGTATAACAAAGAAAAAATAAAATACAAAATTGTCATAGAAGAACGGAGTATATTTTTATACCTTTGGCATAATGAATTAACTAGAACATTACAGAGAAATTTTACTTAAGACACAGAAAACAGACAAGCTACTTGTAAATAGTTAATTAGGAAAAATTCTTCTCTGTGAAAAAATAATGAGAAGGATTTATAGCTAGAGCTAAAAGCTGGTTATCCGAAGCAGAATTTAAGGTCAACTTTAAATTTACCTTAAGAAGAATCCATCTTAATGTAAATTTAAATGTTAACCAGAAGATATACAAGTCATTTGAAATAGGACAAAATCTTCCTTGGAGAGAAATTACTCATAAAATTATAATTGGCTTAAGAGAAGCTTCAATTTCTCATGCATTCTATTCAATCATAACGAAATACCAATAAGCAAAATCACCTCCTAATACCTTATTGTTTTAATCCATGTATGCAGAGAAAAAATTAATATAAACAATAAGAAATACTTTTCTACATAAGCCCTTACAATAATGAATAAACCACTGATAGCAAATAGATTGAAAACATAGAAAGTATTAGTGTAATGTACTATTAACCTAAAATACAAATGTAATAAGATTAAAAGGAATAAAAGAAATTTAATAAACCATTATCTCCCCTCTATTTACTAAAAAAAACTTAATTTGTTAATTGAATATAGAAACTTATTGTCTAATTAGCTAAAGTAATCATGATCTGAATTAATTATTTTGGTTGAGGTGACCTCAGAACATAGTAAAGCCTCCCAATGATCAAAGCTAGACTAATCACTCAAATACGTGATCATTATTAGTTGGCTCAAGTTTTTTTGGTTGATAATCTATTTTATTGATGAACAGATTTTTCAATTGGTAATAATAAAATTCCATTTTAGAGGTCAAATTGATGATTAAGTTTATGATTTTATTGTTGCATCCATACATCCTAAAGATGTGACTTCTACTTAAGGTTCTTTAGTGCCATGGGTAAAGTTGAATGTTACCTAAGTTCATATCAGAGCAATTTCATTTGATGATTCTTTATGCAAAGGTGTCTTACAATATGAAAGGGCTTTAAAAATGAGGTCCACTCTACAAAAGGGCTTAATATTAATTTGATATTTATCTAAGTACAATAAATTATTAAAATCCTAGTCTAAGGGAGAGGCAGAACAAGTTGCTGGAATAAACCCTCCAGCAATCCCCACCCCGCCATGCCCCACTCCACCCTCAACCCTACCCCCGGTGTAGCCGCTCACTCAGGGAAACTTCAGATTAAATAACTATCCACACAAGAAAACTTCTTCTCACAAGAGGTAACTAAATCAGGTGAGAAATCACAGCACCAAGTTATAGCATAATAACAGGAAAGGATGTGTTAAAGAGGATAGGAAGAACAGTCTTGAACTGTCTTCATCACTCCTTTGCCAACCCCATGCAGCACTGCATAGACAATCTGCTTGGGAGAGGAAGAGGAAAGTGAGTACGGGACTTTGCATTGGAAC
The DNA here is from genome assembly GCF_000001405.40 of Homo sapiens. NCBI lineage: Eukaryota > Metazoa > Chordata > Mammalia > Primates > Hominidae > Homo > Homo sapiens. Next base: position 31,499,888 of record NC_000009.12, read on the forward strand.
TTAGTATCAGCTTCCCCACAGTGAAACACAGTACCAGGCAGAAACACATGGCTCCCTTTTCCAGTCTGGTGCCTATGGAGGGAGCATTTAGGCTTTGCCCCAGGCAAGAAGAAAATCTGCAGCCTGGGCAGGAGGAATCTGAGTCCTGATCTGCTTTACTACCAGCTGATTAAAGTGGCCTTTGGCACCAAATAAATGGACCCAATGGGTCCTCATTTTAGTGACAGGGAGGTCATAGTGATTACTATCCTTGGGTGAGCACTGTTATTGACATGGTCTGGAAGGCTATAAGCTTCAGATACGACTCAGTGAGACATAAGCTGCAGCAGCCACAGGAGTGCCCATGTCACCTCTCTGCCAACTCTAGGCAGTGCAGCTTTGAGAGAGACTTCTCCAGGGAAGAAGAGGGAAGTGTGCAGGAGACTTTGCCCTGGGAACTAGTACCAACTCTGCCACAGTAAAACAGCCCTGAACTGAAAACCACAAGCCCTTATTTTTGGCCAGTGCTTCCAGACAACGCTTCTACCTCACCCCTAACCAGAATGGAATCTGCTGCACTGGCAGGACAGACAGGAGTCCCATCCAGTCATCACCATTGACTGTACACACACATACACAATGGAATACCATTCAGCCATAAAACAAAATGAAATCCTATCATTTGAGGCAACATGCGTGAACCTGGAGGATGTTATGTTAAGTGAAATAAGCCAGGCACAGAAACACAAACACCATGTGATCTCACTCATAAGTGGAATCTAAAAAAGTTGGTTTCATAGAAGCAGAAAGTAGTATAGTGGTTACTAGAGGCTGGGGAAGAAAAGGGGCAGGAAAAGACAAAGAGGTTGTTCAATGAGTAGAAAGTTACAGTTATACAGAAAGAATAAGTTCTGTTTTATTACAAAGTAGGGTGGCTATAACAAATAACAATGTAGTGTATATTTCAAGATACCTATAAGAGAAGATTTTGAACTTCAGCTCAAATAAATGTAAATGTTTAAAGTGACAGATTAGTAATTACCCCAGTTTGATCATCATATAATGCATGGATGCATTGAAACATCACACTGTATTCCAGAAATATGTAAAGTATTATGTGTCCATTATAAATTCAAAAAATTAACTAACGAAAAAATGTCTAAGAATCAGGCCCATTGAGATAATAGAACTCAGTAATAATGTAAATATAAAACTTTGTTTTCAGAGGCTTTTTTTTTTTTTTTGAGACAGAGTTTTGCTCTTGTTGCCCAGGCTGGAGTGCAATGGCACGATCTCGGCTCACTGCAACCTCCGCCTCCCGGATTCAAGTGATTCTCCTGCCTCAGCCTCCCAAGTAGCTGGGATTACAAACATGTGCCACCAAGCCTGATTAATTTTGTATTTTTAGTAGAGGTGGGTTTTCACCATGTTAGTTAGGCTGGTCTCGAACTTCTGACCTCAGGTGATCCACTGTCTTGGCCTCCCAAAGTGCTGGCATTACAGGTGTGAGCCACCGCACCCAGCCTCATTGTTATTTTTTAACAAGCATGTTCCTAAGTAATTTATAATTGCAATATTTCCCTATTGTATTAGTTTAGGCCTTCTGAGGGCTTATCAAATAAAAAATTGGGTCACTGAATTTCAAAAAACCAACTAACTTAGTTCCATATGGATTATTTGAACCGATTGCAGATGTCATAAATGATATATTAAAGAATCATAAAAACCACTTCGATCTCTAATGCGATTAATAGTAACATAGATTATTGCACCTGTTATGGTCCTGACCTTGCTTTAACAATTTGAGTGTCTACTTTATCATTATATCAGTTAATAGGTTTGTCTTAGTCCATTTTGTGTTGCTATAACAGAATATCACAGACTGGATAATTTATAAAGAAATGAAATTTATTTCTTAGAGTTCTTGAGGTTGAAAACTCCCACAGGCCCGCATCTGGTGACGGTCTTCTTGCAGAAGGTGGAAGAGCCAGAGATTGCAAGAGAGCAAGAGAGTAAGGAGGGGCCACTAGCTTTTACAGCAAGCCTACACTCAGCCCACACTCATGATAATTCACCTGTTCCCATGATAACAACATTGATGCATTCATGTGAGCTTTGCCTGCATGGCCTAATTACCTCTTAAAATTCCCACCTCTCAGTACTGTTGCATTGAGGATTTAATGTCCAGCACATGAACTCAGCAGGAAAAAATCAAACCAAAAGAAGATTTAAAGCTAGAATTACTATTAGTCTTCTCTATATGAAGCTTAGCAGTGTAGTCAGTCAAGCTCATAGTGTCCAGAACTTGAATAATCCAGAATCCTTTGAGCAGAAACAAAAATCATGAATTCCACGTAGGCAATTACTCTGTGGGGTGCGTGTGTGTTGTTGTGGGTGTGTGTGTGTGTGTGCACATGAGTCATTTACATTAAGAGCTAACTTCCCTGAATTATTTGCTCTGATCCACTTTTAACTTTCGAGAAAAGGCAGAAGAAATACAGAAAAGGTTTTAGTTACTTCATTGGATTTGCAACTCAGTGTATAAGTTAAACTTCCCAGCTTGATAAATGAGGAATTATCCTCTGTCTTTATATTTTATGTACAAAAATTATTCTCACATAGATTCATCTACCCTTGACTATTCTCAACAAATCACAAAGTGGTCACTGCTCTATATAGTGGAGACTGCCCTTAACTTGCTAATTCAGGGTGATTTTAATCAATGTGTAGTTTTATTAGGAGATGCTCAGATTTATAACTGTTATTGCTTATTTCTTAGTAATAATTTTCTTAATCATAATACCGTCATGATTGGAAGATTTTGAAACTCATTAAGGCCATTAATTATAGGCACTCCAGATAGAGCATTCTAATAAATAAATAAGCTTTTGATTATTGCCCCAGGATTCCTTTTACTGCTTGCAGCATCAACAGCAGGAGCAAGGCAGGACTAGAGTGAACAGTGTGCCCTCCACCCACTGGCAGTCTAACACCTGTCGGCACGATAGATTTCTTTATCATCTTCCTCATCTAGCAAGGTTTCATCAATTTTAGGTGCCATTAATTTTCTTACTGCAATTAATTAAAATAAAACCACCTTTTACATCCCAATACCACAGACCACTAATTCCATTTTCAGTATTATTACAACTTTTTATAACTGCCATAGAAATCACTGTTAACAAAACAGAATCTAAGTATTACCTTTACAAATCTAACAGAAAGCAGAGACCCAATTTAATATCAACATTTGCGCTGAAGTGTTGGACATGCTGAAGGATACATGCTTTGGAAAAATTTCACATATTTTAACATAATGTTCAGGAAACCATTCTTTAGTTGCATAAAAACTAATCTGAGTAGCACTGCCAATTAGAATTTTAGGATTTATTGTACATCACGTTATAATTTAACCCTGTAGGGTCTGCATATTTATGTTTCCCCAAAATTAACATGCTAAAATCCTCACCCCCAAGGTGACGATGTTAGGACGTGGAGCTTTTGGGAATGATTAGGTCATGAGGGTTCTACCCTCATAATAAGATTAATGGCCTTATAAGAGAGGCTGGAGAGAGCTCCTTTACCCTTCGTTTTTGTGAGGACACAGAAAGAAGGCAGTGTCTATGAGGAAGTGTGTCCTCACCAGACACTGAATCTGATGGCTACTTGATCTTGTACTTCCCAGCCTCTATCACTGTGAAAAATAATTTCCCTGGTTTATAAGCCACCTACTATACTATATATATTCAAACAGGCTAAAAAATACCCTGAATATTGAAATAGATGTGCAAGTACATCCAATTTCTGCTGCCATAATTATTACTATCGTATCAGAGGTTAAAGTCTTTGACTAGCTATGTTACAAGAATAACATAAGTGATCACCAGTTATACTCTGACTTATGTGTTTTATTTGCCTATGTACTGCATATGGGCTAACAGGAGTTGTTTTATCTACTAAATGCATCATTTGTTTACTGATTCCTGTTATTTTTAAGATAAATATTATATCTTATATGAGGCAAGGCTCAACCACCATGTGTAGGTAATAATGGAACTGGTTTTTCCCAATATTTTCTTGGCCTTTCTGGAATGTAGCAATGATAATCAGCCTATACAGGTGCTGAAACAAGATGAAAACTCTGTCATCTATGAAGCCACTAGTTCACTGATAGCAGTGATAATAAAATTCTTTATAAGATATTGGTAAAAATAAATTTACCAATCTTTACTTAATTTTATCAAAGTTAAATTATCTGTGTCTGTTAGCATATCAACTCTATCTAGGTTTTCAATTCCATATTTTTCACTTTAGAGAAATGTTCCCATTTCCATGTCTTATAATAGCATTTATAATTAGCTCTTTGGTATTTGGTATTATATATCTAATATTAAACACAAAATTAACTCACAAAAGCACCACAGATGCTTAAGAATTAGAAACAGTATGCACATCTTACCTTTAATTATTTTAATTCTTATTGATCTTCCATTATTATGAAATTATGAATATTTAATTGTGGAGTAATAACTCATTCCTTTTTTTATTTTTCTTTTGAGACAGGGTCTTGCTCTATCACCCAGGCTGGAGTGCACAGCAGTCTCGACCTCCCAAGTTCAGGCAATTCTCCTATCTCAGCCTCCTGAGTAGCTGAGACTACAGGCACGTGATACCACACCCAACTAATCATTGTATTTTTTGTAGAGACAAGGTTTTGCCATGTTGACCAGGCCAGTCTCAAACTCCTGGGCTCAAGGTTTCCACCCACCTTGGCCTCCCATTGTGCTGAGAGTACAGGCCTGGACCACTGGGCCCAGCCTCCATAATCCATTCCTAACTGCAGAAACAACAAGATGACAATGAATTGAATTTATGATTATAGAGACTATGAAATTCTTAACTTTGATTCAGACGAAGATAATTATGTCTATAGAAATTGATATTCATGTAGTAATCCTCACAGAACTGCCATCTAAACATTAACCTCATCAGAAGATGTGCTTCATTCATGAGCTGCTCCTTCTTTATATTTAGAACAGTTGCTTTTCCAGGACAAATAAAGTGAGAAGTATTAACGTTTACTAGACTTGACATTATAAACAATGCTCTTAAACTATGTAACTCAAATTATACCTTCATGGACTTTGTGCTCGAGGTAGTACTTTAGAATAGTTTGAAAACTGACCCATATCAGTGCTATAAATTCATAGGGGAGATAAATTATCATTAATTATTAAAGTTAAAGATGGAGAACTTAAATCCCTTGCAAATGAAATACCACAATTAGATACAGTACTATAAACTACTAATATATTATCAATAATTCTAGTGATATTTTTAATGAAAATTTTTATGCTTGTAGTTTTGAACTATCACCCTCACCCGTAACACTTGAAACATCAATACTGAGTAACAAAGTAAGAGATAATTTTTATCTGCCTCTGTCCTCCAGCAATAGTAGGACTAGGTATTGTAAACTTTATTATTTTCTCAATAAATGCATTTCTTTCACCAAACCATCTTATTACAAATTGTAATTAGATGCTAACAGCAGATAGACTAATTTTAAAGTAGCAAGTGTTAACTCATAGAGACTTGGCACAGGTTTTATCTCTAACATCAATTTAATCTCATTCCATTTACTGAAACTTCAGTCCTGCTAGTACCCATACCTCACACAGTTACCTAAGCCAAGCAATTCACAGCAAATTTAGGAATGACCATCTCACTATGGGCAGAAACAGTTATTTTTTGTTTTCATCATAAAAATGAAGCCTTATCAGAGTATTTTATATCCCAAGAAACACCTGCTATATGTGTGTCTATCTTTGTCATCATGATCATTCCTGGAATATTTAACAAATAGTTTTAGCATTACGGTTTGCAGCAAACATTACAGTTTGCCACTTGTTAATTCACCTAGTTAGAGGAGCTGCATTAGCCCTATTACCAATTAGCCCATCAGTAGTCTCGATCAGGTTTATTATTTTAGTACTTCTTATGGTTTTAGAGTCCACAGTTAGCTGAATTCAATCATATATCTTCACATCTTCAGGAAGCCTATATTTACAAATAACACCTATTAACTAACATGCTAATCATATAATAAAATTAAGCCTTTGGCCACTAAGAGGAGGCTTATCTGCTAGACTCCATTTAATTTATCATTTCTAGTAATAGTCATACTATTAAATAATGCACAAGCAATAGGCTATAAATAAAGAGATGGTGTTTAAGAGACTACTTTCACAGGTCCCTAGAGGTCAGTTGCACAAAAAGAACTTACATATGAAATAATCCCCTTCAATGTGCTAGAAATATTTTTTATTACAGGGTATTTTTTATCTTTCATTCAAATATAGCCCCTATACCAAAACTTGGTAGAGTCTGATCACTAGCATGTATTAAAACACTAAACTACTATATCCATTAGCAGTATCATTTCTTAACACTTTTATCCTTCTAGTTGCTGGAGTAGCTATCACTTGGACCACCCCGCACTCCCACAATCTGAAAAAAAGAAATCAAAATGAAACATTACCAGAACTGTTTATCAACACTACACTAGATGTTTACATTATGAGAAACCTCAGAATTATTATGAAACATTATACACTAGTTCTAATGACCTCTATGACTCAATATTATTTTTGACAAAATGGATTTCATAGATTGTGTGTAATTACTGCTAAAGCTTTAATTATATGTTTTCTATGTCAAATAACATTTTGCTTCACTTTTAATCATTTTAGTTTTGAAACTCACCCTAATACAGACCCTCTTAATTGTCATATAACTCTTTACTATTTTAATTTTTAATTTTTGTGGGTATATAGTAGGTGTATATATTTATGAGGTACATGAGACATTTTGATATAGGTATCATGGAAAGTGGGGTATCCATCCTCTCAAGTATTTATCTTTTGTGTTACAAACAATCCAATTATAGTCTTGTAGTTATTTTAAAATGTACAATTAAATTATTGACTATAGTCACCCTGTTGTGTGCTATCAAATACTAGGTATTAATAATCATCACATCATGGAGAATGAAGGATCCGTCCCCTCAAGCTTTTACCCTTCGTGTTAAAAACAGTCCAATTATAGTCTTTTAGTTATTTCAAAATGTACAATTAAGTTATTGACTATAGTCACCCTGTTGTACTATCAAAGAATAGGTATTTTTCATTCTTTCTATATTTTTTGTACTCATTAACCATCCCCACACCCTCACACCCAACCCCACCCACTACCCTTCCCAGCCTCTGGAAATCATCCTTATAACTCTGTGTCCATGGGTTCAATTGTTTTGATATTTAGATTCTACAAATTAGTGAGAATATACAATGTTTGTCTATCTGTTCCCGGCTTGAATCACTTAACATACTGATCTCCAGTTCCATCCACGTTGTTGCAAATGACAGGATCGCATTCTTTTTATGGCTGAATAGTCTTCATTGTATATACGTACCACATTTTCTTTATCCATTTATCCCCTGATGGACACTTAGGTTGCTTTCAAATCTTGGCTATTGGGAACAGTGCTGCAGCAAACATGGGAATGTAGATATCTCTTCTATATACTGATTTCCTTTCTTTTTTGTGGATTCCCAGCAATAGGATTGCTGGTTCCTAAGGTAGCTCTACTTTTATTTTTTTGAGGACCCTCCAAACTGTTCTCCACAGTGGAGACTGTACTAATTGACATAGTGGAGGTTGTACTAATTGACATTCCCACCAGTGTACGAGGATTCTTTTCCTCCACATCCTCACGAGCATGTTATTGCCTGTCTTTTCTTTTTTACCAGGCCCATGGAAAGTACTGCCAGACTAATGCCAGTCTTTCCTTAAGGCGCAAGTGCTCTTCAGTCAGCTTGTAGTGAATGCTGCCTGGCTTGAGACTCACCCTTCAAGGCACTGGGCTCCCCTCTGGCTCAGGGAAGGTCTAGAAATGCCATCCAAAAATCAAGTTCTGGAACCGAGGACCCCAACAGTCCACTTGGTACTCTACTCAACTTGGCTGAACTGGTACCTAAAGTGCAAAACAAAGTCCCCTTTATTTTTCCCTGTGGTTTTCTCAAGCACAAGGAGTCTCCAATAGCCACCATAGCTGAGAATGAGCTCAGTCTCACTTAAAGCTGGCAAGTCTCAGAGCCTCACCTAAGGCCCTCCACATAGCAACTGGGTACTGCTGCTGGTTACTCAGGGCCCAAGAGCTTTTCAGTTAGCAGGAGATGAATCCTACCAGGACTTTGTCCTTCTCTTTAAGGCAGCAGGTGTCCTTCTGGCACAGGGAGTGTCTAGAAATGTTGATCAGGACCTCGGGCCTGGATAGTGAGACTGGTGACTCTGACCAGTGCCCGGTCCTGCTGTGATTGAGCTGGTCTCCAAGATGCAAGACAAAGTTCTTCTCTTTCTTCCCTCTCCTCTCCTTAGGTGGAAAGAAGGGGTTTCTTTTGGATCCACAAACTGTGCAGCCTGGGGTTGTGGGAGAGGTTATGCCAGCACTCCTTTAGCTGCCCTAGCTGGTGTCTCAGTAGGTCATGTGCCCCTCGAGTCTGGTTCTGGTCCCTCTCATGTAAAAGTTGCAGTCCCTGTGGCCTAGACTGCCTTTCAAGTTTATTTAGAAGTGCAGAGCAATTTAGCCCCTGGTGACAAGGTTTTAGAAACTCAAGTTGGGACCACTGGGATCAATGGTTCTCCTCTTGCTAGGACTGCTTTAAATGTTCCCTTATTGGGTGGGAATCAGCTGAGTTTGGCCTGTTTTTTCTTTCTGCTGTAACAAGGCAGCATTGAGTTCAATGGCTCAAAATTGCTGCTCTCTCCCTCCTCCAGCACACAGAAACACTCTGAGCACCAAACCACGGCTGCGAGGGGTTGAGAGGTGGCATTAGTGATTCAAAACTGTTTTTTCTACCTCTTCAGTGCCTTTTTCAGTGATACAAAGTTCAAACCAGATATTGTGAGTGCTCCCCTAATTTCTGGTTCTTATGAAGGTGCTTTTCTTGTGTATATAGTTATTAAATTGGTGTACTTGCAGAGGGATGATCAATGGAGCTGCCATTTTGCTCCCCACATCCCTATAATATCCTTATTTCCTATATAACAGTGTGTTGATGACAATCATATTTTTATTTTATTAATTAGTACAACTAACTCCAAATCTGTTACTTTTAAGTCTAAGAAAAATAATCTAATAGTATCAAAACTATTTAATACAGTTTAGCTTCCATAATAGTAATTTCACCTTCTGATTGCTACAATTATTACTTAGAGAAAAAAAAACAAATCCAGTGAATTTGGATTTGAAAATCTAGAACTGTCCCACCAAAAGCATTTAACAAAATCCTTCCTGGTATCAGTGAAATTGTTACTATTTGAGCCTCAAATTTTACTCTTATTATTCCAACTACCTTGGAATTCTCAAGAAATTAACCTATAAATAATGCTTATTAAAACAGTAATTCCTGTGATACTATGAGTCACAGACTTAGCCTACAGATGAATTAAAAACAAACTGGTAAGGCTAAAATTAGGTAGCTTAATAAGACAATTTTGACACCTTAGATTATGATTACACCATAATTACCTGATATTCACATTTATATAAACATTTCAATAGCTTTTATAATAACCCTCTTTAAGTATTTTAATTTATCCCATATAATAACTTCATTACAATGCTTAGAGGGCATAACATCAGCATCAGCTATTATATGCTTTATTAACACTAAATGTTAACCTAACATCAAGCACCACATTTATATTGGCTGCTAGAAAACTGCTGTAGGATTAGCACTTCTGGTAATAGTGGAAGGTGTATACATATATATATATATATATATATATATATATATATATATATATATTTTCAACATTTTGTAATAATGTAAACATTTTACTTTACATATATATATATATTCAACATCATAATCTCACTTAATTTACTTGTAATATAATGCTGTACCACTAACTAGTCCCCAATAAATAATGTAATAAATTACTATTACTAGCATATGTATGACATTTATATTTTAAAATACCCCTATAAGACTGTGGCTTTGACTGTCAAAAGTGCACATCAAAGCACAGATTATACCAATTGCAGACTGAACGTATAGAGACAGGGCCCATATCTTTTTTTTATAACTACTATCCCTTAATATGTCTATGAAAATGTCTACCACTAATGGGAATCTAATAACTTATTTAAGTACTGATTAATTAATTTTAAATGTGCTAAGTAGCTTATTTTATCTACTTTTGGGTGAAAAGCCCAAACATTTCTTCTTAGTTTCTCTCTTTCTAGGCTACAATTAATCACTGAAATTTGTGGATGTACACACTAATCCTTCCCCCATCTCAATAATATTCCAACTGATTTACTCTTTATATCTTTACAATTAAAATTATCAATGTATATTTCTATAGGAAGATCAAATTTCCTGGTTTGTTCTTTATTCATTGGGTAAGAAAATTTGGATAAGTATTTATTACCAGAATTAGCTATTTAAATTATTAAATAATTATCTTTTTCTTTTAGACCAGCTTTTGCTCACCTTGAATACATTAGGATTCTTCTGCTCACCTTGAATACATTAGGATTCTGGTCTCTGCTGTGGGTAACACAAGTGCCAATAAGTATCATGGAGTCATGTTTTTAAATAAAAGCTTCACTTCTATAGCCTGAGTAAACCTAGTCATTCTTTTTCATGTCTACACTTGATTGTCCAGCAAAAAATAAAAAGATTCCCTCTTATTTGGGCTTCTTTCTTTTATGATTTTTCAGGTGTGCCTAATCAAACAATCACCGTGCAGGCAAAACTCTCCAGTGAATTTATTGACTGTAAATAGGGAAGAACATTTTTGTAATACTAATGATCCCAATCCTGTTCCAAATCAAACAGAAATAATTGTGAATCAGAAGAAAGGTGAAGAACAAGAGTGTGGATTATAATGCACATACTTGATGTGAATATCAGAGAGGCTGACTAAACATAGTGGACATTCTACATGTAAGGTTTTAAGATATTTTTCATAAGGATTGTTATGCTTTTTAGTCTGGTAATATAATACAGGTACTTACTTGTCTTTGAACTGACAATAAAACCTTACTGAGGGCCGTAAATAACTAACACTCACTTACCACTCTTGCTAAGGCAGATCTTATCAGTCTCCCTCACTGTAAAGCTCTTGTATTTTATATTGATTGAGTGTTCTATTTTTATACTTACATTCCCCATATAAAAATATTATAGAGTATTCCTATATTTTTTTCTAATCATTCCCAATTTTTTCATTACTGGAATTGTCTAAATTAAATTGAAAGGATTAAAATTAAGAAGTAAATATGCTGTGTGCCAAACATTAAAGTGTGCATACTAATTTTTAACAATCAGAATTTCTGAGAGACCTCAAACTTGAATTTCCATACATTTTACCTACAACCAAAACAAAGTGCATGCAAGACTTTGGTAGTGTGTTGCTTTTTCTGTTCTGACAGGGAGATTTTTGACAATTCCATCCAACATACTAGACCCTATTTCACCATTAGATGCTGTTAATTTATTTACCCATAGTATATATGCATCCAGTGTTGAAGGCAGATAGGAAAATCTTTACGGGTTAGTGATGAAATAGCTATTTTTCTCTTTACAGCTAATGTAATATTTACTATGTCCTCCTATATTTTCTTCTAACAGAAAAAAAGACAATAAAAACAAAATAATGTAAACAAATCAACAGGATCCTAAGTCTATGAATAAAACAACACATAACGGATGTGAGCCATCACCTACATGTTAGAGGGAACAATGCTATATAACTTGGGCATATCAGCTCACTTAGTTCCACTTCCCAGTGAAGAAGGTTGGTGATATGGTTGGCTACGTCTCTACCCAAATCTCATCTTGAATTGTAGCTACCATAATTCCCACATGTCTTGGGAGGGACCCAGTGGGAGGTAATTGAATCATGGGTGTGGGTCTTTCCTGTGCTGTTCTCATGATAGTGAATAAGTCTCACAATATCTGATGGTTTTATAAAGGGGAGTTCTCCTACACAAGCTGTCTTGCCTGCTGCCACGTAAGACGTGGCTTTGCTCCTCCTTGCCTTCTGCCATAATTGTGAGGCCTCTCCAGCAACGTGGAACTATGAGTCCGTTAAACTTCTTTCCTTTGTAAATTACCCAGTCTTGGGTATGGCTTTATTAGTAGCATGGAAACAGACTAATACAGTTGGGAACCCCTCCTGAGTACCATAATCTAGTTAGCTACTCTTCGTTATTCCTTACTGTGATCTTAGGTGAATGCCACTTATGATCTCCTTGAAGTATACCATAAAGGAATTGATTTTTATTTATCAAATTAACTCTTGGCTACTTAGTTACCACTTACCCCTCTAAAGCACCAAATTAGATCATCTCCCCCAAAGTTCAAACAAACTTTGCATCATAATAGTTGTTAAAATTATTTTTACATTTTTTGTTAGTATACTTGTAATTACATTCATTGAAGATAATTTGAAATTGAAGAAATGCAGATTATAAAAATCATTTACTAGAATTCAAAAATCAGTGATATTAGAGATAGTTTCTAACTTGTTCATAGTTTTATGCACAAATCCCAAAACAGCTTGGTACATAAAAATAAACATATGTAAAAATGCCACCATTTAAAGATACTTGCTACAAAATGTCATGTCTCAGTCTTTCTTTACATTTCCATCTCTCATCGCCCAACCTGGCTAGACATTTATCGACAGAATCAAGTTAATTGCTAAACAGTGGGGTATTGGTTAAATAAATTACAGTATGTTTACACAGTCGACTACTAAACAATCACTAAAAAAGTTATAAAAATATTTTGTTGATCTGATGATTGTTGTTTGACACTCTAGAAAAACCCGTTCCACATTCATTGTCTACAGTTAGTGTTACACGTAGAAAATGGAAGAGTGCATAGTAGACCAGGAAGCCTAATAGGGGAAATATTTTGAGGAGGAGAATGTGATTGATTGTGTCAATGCTACTAATACCATGTAACAAGAGCTTAGCACTGACCTTTGGACGTAGTATATAACACTTACCACTGGCCTTTACAAGGGCTGTTTCAGTAGAGCAATAAGAATAAAAACTCAAATGAAGTCAGTCAAGAGAGAAAGGGAGGGAAGAATTGGAGACTGCAGATACACATAACTCTTTTCAAGAGGTTTTATTATTATTATTATACTTTAAGTTATAGGGTATACGTGCAGAAAGTGCGGGTTTGGTACATAGGGACACATGTGGCATGCTGGTTTGCTGCACACATCAATCCATCATCTACATTAGGTATTTCCCCTAACGCCATCCCTCCCCTAGCCGCCCAACCCCTGCCAGGCCCTAGTGTAAGATGTTTTCCTCCCTGTATCCATGTGTTCATACTGTTCAACTCCCACTTATGAGTGAGAACATGCGGTGTTTAGTTTTCTGTTCTTGTGTCGGTTAGCTGAGAATGATGGTCTCCAGCTTCATCCATGTCCCTGCAAAGGACATGAACTCAACCTTTTTATGGCTGCATAGTATTCCATGGTGTATATGTGTCACATTTTCTTTATCCAGTTTATCACTGATGGGCATTTGGGTTGGTTCCAAGTCTTTGCTATTGTGAACAGTGCCGCAATAAACATATGTGTGCATGTGTCTTTATAGTAGAATGATTTATAAACCTTCAGGTACATACTCAGTAATGGGATTACTTGGTCAAATGGTGTTTCTGGTTCTAGATCCTTGAGGAATTGCCACACTGTCTTCCACAGTGGTTGAACTAATTTACATTCCCACCAACAGTGTAAAAGTGTTCCTATTTCTCCACACCCTCTCCAGCATCTGTTGTTTCCTGACTTTTGAATGATCGCCATTCTAACTGACATGAGATGGTATCTCATTATGGTTTTGATTTGCATTTCTCTAATGACCAGTGATGATGAGCTTTTTTTCATATGTTTGTTGACTGCATAAATGTCTTCTTTTGAGAAGTGTCTGTTCAGATCCTTCACCCACTTTTTGCTGGGGTTGTTTTTCCTGTAATTTTTTTTTTTTTTTTTTGAGACAGAGTCTTGCTCTGTTGCCCAGGCTGGAGTGCAGTGGTGCAATCTCAGCTCACTGCAAGTTCTGCCTCCCAGGTTCACACCATTCTCCTGCCTCAGCCTTCTGAGTAGCTGGGACTACAGGTGCCCGCCACCACTCCCGGCTAATTTTTTTTTGTATTTTTAGTAGAGATGGGGTTTCACCATGTTAGCCAGGATGGTCTCGATCTCCTGACCTCGTGATCTGCCCGCCTCAGCCTCCCAAAGTGCTGGGATTACAGGTGTGAGCCACCATGCCCAACCTGTTTTTCCTGTAAATATGCTTATGTTCTTTGTAGATCCTGGATATTAGCCCTTTGTCAGATAGACAGATTGCAAAAATTTTCTCCCACTGTGTAGGTTGTCTGTTCACTCTGATGATAGTTTCTTTTGCTGTGCAGAAGCTCTTTAGTTTATTTAGATCCCATTTGTCAATTTTGGCTTTTGTTGCCATTGCTTTTGGTGTTTTAGTCATAAAGTCTTTGCCCATGCCTATGGCCTGAATGGTATTGCCTAGGTTTTCTTCGAGGATTTTTATGGTTTTAGGTCTTAACGTTGAAGTCTTTAATTCATCTTGAGTTAATTCTTGTATAAGGTGTAAGGAAGGGTTCCAGTTTCAGTTTTCTGCATATGGCTAGCCAGTTTTCCCAACACCATTTATGAAATAGGGAATCCTTTCCCGATTGCTTGTTTTGGTCAGGTTTGTCAAAGATCAGATAGTCGTAGATGTGTGGTGTTATTTCTGAGGCCTCTGTTCTGTTCCACTGGTCTATATATATCTGTTTGGTAGCAGTACCATGCTGTTCTGGTTACTGTAACCTTGTAGTACAGTTTGAAGTCAGGTAGCATGATGCGTCAAGCTTTGTGCCTTTTGCTTAGGACTGTCTTGGCTATGCAGGCTCTTTTTTTGTTCCATATGAAATTTAAGGTAGTTTTTTTCTAATTCTATGATGGAAGTCAATGGTAGCTTGATGGGGATTGCATTGAATCTATAAATTACTTTGGGCAGTATGGCCATTTTCACGATATGCATTCTTTCTATCCATGAGCATGGAATGTTTTTCCATTTGTTTGTGTCCTCTCTTATTTCCTTGAGCAGTGATTTGTAGTTCTTCTTGAAGAGGTCCTTCACATCCCTTGTAAGTTGTATTCCTAGGTATTTTATTCTCTTTGTGGGAATTGTGAATGGGAGTTCACACATGATTTGGCTCTCTGTTTGTCTATTATCAGCATATAGGAATGCTTGTGATTTTTGCACATTGATATTGTATCCTGAGACTGCTGAAGTTGCTTATCAGTTAAGAAGATTTTGGGCTGAGATGATGGGGTTTTCTAAATATATAATCATGTCATCTGCAAACAGAGAAAATTTGACTTCCTGTCTTCCTGTTTGAATATCCTTTCTTTCTTTCTCTTGCCTGATTTTCCTGGCCAGAACATCCAATACTATGTTGAATAGGAGTGGTGAGAGAAGGCATCCTTGTCTTGTGCTGGTTTTCAAAGGAAATGCTTCCAGTTTTTGCCCATTCATTATGATATTGGCTGTGGGTTTGTCATAAATAGCTCTTATTATTTTGAGATATGTTCCATCAATAACTAGTTTTCAGCATGAAGGGGTGTTGAATTTTATTGCAGCCCTTTTCTGCATCTATTGAGATAATGATGTAGTTTTTCTCATTGGTTCTGTTTATGTGATGGATTACGTTTATTGATTTGCGTATGTTGAACCAGGCTTGCATCCCAGAAATGAAGCCGACTTGATCATGGTGGATAAGCTTTTTCAGGTGCTGCTGGATTTGGTTTGCCAGTATTTTACTGAGGATTTTTGCATCGCTGTTCATCAGGGATATTGGCCTGAAATTCTCTTTTTTTGTCGTGTCTTTGCCAGGTTTTGATATCAGGATGATGCTGGCCTCACAAAATGAGGTAAGGAGGAGTCTGTCTTTTCCTATTATTTGGAATAGTTTCAGAAAGAATGGTACCAGCTCCTCCTTTACCTCTGGTAGAATTTGGCTGTGAATCCATCTGGTCCTGAACTTTTTTTGGTTGGTAGGCTATTAATGATTGCCTCAATTTCAGAACTTGTTATTGGTCTATTCAGGGATTTGACTTCTTTCTGGTTTAGACTTGGGAGGGTGTATGTGTCCAGGAATTTATCCATTTCTTGTAGATTTTCTAGTTCATTTGCATAGAGGTGTTTATAGCATTCTCTGATGGTAGTTTGTATTTCTGTGGGATCAGTGTTGATATCCCCTTTATCATTTTTTATTGCATCTATTTGATTCTTCTCTCTTTTCTTCTATATTAGTCTGGCTAGTGGTCTATCTATTTTGTTGATCTTTTCAAAAAACCAGCTCCTGGATTCATTGATTTTTTGAAGAGTTTTTTGTGTCTCTATCTCCTTCAGTTCTGCTCTGACCTTAGTTATTTCTTGTCTTCTGCTAGCTTTTGAATTTGTTTGCTCTTGCTTCTCTAGTTCTTTTAATGGTGATGTTAGAGTGTCAATTTTAGATCTTTCCTGCTTTCTCCTGTGGTCATTTAGTGCTATAAATTTCCCTCTAAACCCTACTTTAGCTGTGTCCCAGAGATTCTGGTATGTTGTGTCTTTGTTCTCATTGGTTTCAAAGAGCTTATTTATTTCTGCATTAATTTCATTATTTACCCAGTAGCCATTCAGGAGCACATTGTTCAGTTTCCATGTAGTTGTGCAGTTTTGAGTGAGTTTCTTAATCCTGAGTTCTAATTTGATTGCACTGTGGTCTGAGACACTGTTTGTTATGATTTCCATTCTTTTGCATGTGCTGAGGAGTGTTTTACTTCCAATTATGTGGTTAATTTTAGAATAAGTGCGATGTGCTGCTGAGAAGAATGTATATTCTGTTGATTTGGGGTGGAGAGTTCTGTAGATGTCTATTAGGCCACTTGGTCTAGAGCTGAGTTCAAGTCCTGAATATCCCTGTTAATCTTCTGTCTCTTTGATCTGTCTAATATTAACAGTTGGTTGTTAAATTCTTCCACTATTATTGTGTGGGAGTCTAAGTCTCTTTGTAGGTCTCTAAGAACTTGCTTTATGAATCTAGGTGCTCCTATATTGGGTGCACATATATTTAGAATAGTTAGCTCTTCTTGTTGCATTGACCCTTTTACCATTATGTAATGCCTGTCTTTGTCTCTTTTGATCTTTGCTGGTTTAAAGTCTGTTTTATCAGAGACTAGGGTTGCAACCCCTGTTTTTTTGTTTTGTTTTGTTTTTGTTGTTCTTGTTTTTGCTTGATAAATATTTCTCCATCCCTTTATTTTGAGCCTATGTGTGTCTTTGCATATGAGATGGGTCTCCTGAATACAGCACACTGATCGGTCTTGACTCTTTATCTAATTTGCCAGTCTGTGTCTTTTAACTGGGGCATTTAGCCAGTTTACATTTAAGGTTCATATTGTTATGTGTAAATTTGATCCTGTCATTATGATGCTAGCTGGTTATTTTGTCCATTAGTTGATGCAGTTTCTTCATAGTGTCAATGGTCTTTACAATTTGCTATGTTTTTGCAGTGGCTGGTACCAGTTGTTCCCTTCCATGTGTAAAGCTTCCTTCAGGAGCTCTTATAAGGCAGTCCTAGTGGTAACAAAATCTCTCAGCATTTGGTTTTCTGTAAAGGATTTTATTTAGTTAGCTTAGTTTGGCTGGATATGAAATTCTGATTCAAAAATTCTTTTCTTTAAGAATGTTGAATATTGGCCTTCACTCTCTTCTGGCTTGTAGGGTTTCTGCAGAGAGACCCACTGTTAGTCTGATGGGCTTCCCTTTGTGGGTAATCTGACCTTTCTCTCTGGCTGCCCTTAACATTTTTTCCTTCATTTCAACTTCGGTGAATCTGATGATTATGTGTCTTGGGGCTCCTCTTCTCGAGAAGTATCTTTGTGGTGTCCTCTGTATTTCCTGAATTTGAATGTTGGCCTCTCTTGCTAGGTTGGGGGAAATTCTCCTGAATAATATCCTGAAGAGTGTTTTCCAACTTGGTTCCATTCTCCCCGTCACTTTCAGATACACCAGTCAAACGTAGGTTTGGTCTTTTCACATAGTCCCATATTTCTTGGAGGCTTTGTTTGTTCCTTTTTATTCTTTTTTCTCTAATCTTGTCTTCATGCTTTATTTCATTAAGTTGATCTTCAATTTCTGATATCCTTTCTTCCATTTGATTGACTCAGCTATTGATTCTTGTGTATGCTTCACGAAGTTCTCTTGCTGTGTTTTCCAGCTGCATCAGGTCATTTATGCTCTTCTCTAAACTGTTTATTCTAGATAGCAATTCCTCTAACCTTTTTTCAAGGTTCTTAGCTTCTTTGCATTGGGTTAGAACATGCTCCTTTAGCTCGGAGGAGTTTGTTATTAACCACCTTCTGAAGCCTACTTCCGTCAATTCATCAAACTCATTCTCCATCCACTTTTGTTCCCTTGCTGGTGAGGAGTTGTGATCCTTTGGAGGAGAAGAGGTGTTCTGGTTTTTGGAATTTTCAGCCTTTTTGCGCCTGTTTCTCCCCATCTTCACGGATTTATCTACCTTTGGTCTTTCATGTTGGTGACCTTCGGATGGGGTTTCTGAGTGGACGTCTTTTTGTTGATTTGGTGCTATTCCTTTCTGTTTGTTCTCCTTCTAATAGTCAGGTCCCTCTGCTGCAACTCTGCTGGAGTTTGCTGGAGGTCCACTCCAGACCCTGTTTGCCTGGGTATCACCAGCAGAGGCTGCAGAACGGCAAAGATTTCTGCCTGTTCCTCACTGTGGAAGCTTCATCCCAGAGGGGCACCCACCAGATGCTAGTCAGAGCTCTCCTGTATGACGTGTCTGTTGGCCCATGCTGGGAGGTGTCTCCCAGTCAGGAGACACGGGGGTCAGGGACCCACTTAAGGAGGCAGTCTGACCCTTAGCAGAGCTCAAACGCTGTGCTGGGAGATCCGCTGCACAGAATCAGCAGGTAGGGACGTTCAAGTCTGCTGAAACTGTGCCCACAGCTGCCCCTTCCCCCAGGTGCTCTGTCCCAGGGAGATGGTAATTTATCAATAAGCCCCTGGCTGTGGCTGCTGCCTTTCTTTCAGAGATGCCCTGCCCAGAGAGGAGGAATCTAGAAAGGTGGTCTGACTACAGTGGCTTTGCTGAGCTGTGGAGGGCTCCGCCCAGTTGGAACTTCCCCAGGGCTTTGTTTACACAGTAAGGGGAAAACCTAGCTACTCAACCTCAGTAATGGCGGACGCCCCTCCCCCGACCAAGCTCAAGTGTCCCAGGTTGACTTCAGACTGCTAAGCTGGCAGCAAGAATTTCAAGCAAGTGGATCTTAGCTTGCTGGGCTCCGTGGGTTGGGATCTGCTGAGCTAGGCCACTTGGCTCCCTGGCTTCAGGGGAGTGAACGGTTCTGTCTCACTGGCATTCCAGGTGCCACTGGGGTATGGAAAACAATTCCTGCAGCTAGCTTTGTGTCTGCCCAAATGGCCACCCAGTTTTGTGCTTGAAACACAAGCCCCTGGTGGTGTAGGCACCCGAGGGAATCTCCTGGTCTGTGGGTTGCAAAGACCATGGGAAACGTGTATATCTGGGCCAGGGTGCACAGTTCCTCACAGCACAGTCCCTCAAGGCTTCCCTTGGCTAGAGGAAGGAGTTCCCTGACCCTTTGCACTTCCTGGGTGAGGCAACGGCCACCCTGCTTCGGCTTGACCTCTGTGGGCTGCACCCACTGTCTAACCAGTCCCAGTGAGATGAACCAGATATCTCAGTTAGAAATGCAAAAATCACCCACCTTCTGCATTTATCTCGTTGGGAGCTACAGACTGGAGCCATTCCTACTGGGCTATCTTGCTAGGTCTCCTCAAGAGGTTTCTTAAAAGGGAAAAGATAAATGGAAACATTTGAAGATGAATATGGGAAAAAAGCAAATACAATGGTAAATTTAACAGCATGTTTATAGGCTGATTGCCATGAGCCAGTTTAAAAAAAAAGAAAGAAAGAAAGAAAAAACCTTGAATATTGAGGAAAGAACGGAAATAGTTGCTGGGGTCATTTTGTTGAGTAACAGGGAAGGCATTCGAGTGCATAAGAAATATGCACACATGATAGTAGCTAAAACACATTTCTCTTTCCTAATAACAAAATAGGAGAGAAATATGCCACAGATGTAGACAAGTGAGTTTAATCTTATAAAAGTGAGTTTGGTAACAAACTGATAAACTTAGTTTCTTAGTTTAACAAACATAGAAGCTTAGTCAGGAAACAGGAGAATGCTTAGAGACTTGAGGAGATTGGAGAAGGCAGAAAATGATAGTTGAAGAGAAAGAAGAAAAACGGGAAAAGCAAATGTGGTACGATTATTATTCTATTCTGTCATTTGTTTTCTTCCTTTTTAGTATTTAAGTGAGAACAGGTCAACTTTAGCAAGATTGATATATTTTAAAAAAGAAGAAGCAAAGAAAAAGAAGGTACTTTCAGTGTATTCTACTTCCTTCATGTCTGTCTGAATGTGTACTTGAACATTACCTAAGGTACTCCAGGGCTGCATGCTGTAGAACCTGATGATCAGTACAGACAACAGAAAGAAAACTGTTAGTGTAGTTAATAATGAGGGCTATCACAGCTGGAAAAATCTCTCTCTGCTTTCTCTCTCACTAATTCTGTTTTAAGTATGATCATGGTAAAAGTCAGCCCACAAGATGAACTCCAGTGATTATTGCTCTCTTGTGTTCATAAACTTGTCTAATCTCCTCCCACATAGAAGTAGGATTGATCTCTGTGACCAATAAATATTGTCAAGTGTGATTTCCAGTTAATAAAAGGCATTGTAATTTCTGCTTTGGTCTTTAGGACTGCTTACTATGGGGGAAGCCCATCCTGTCGTGAGGACATTTAAGCAGCCACATTGAGAGGCTTTCATGAAAAGGAACTGAAGCCTCTTGGTAACATCTAGCACTAATTTGCCAGCTTTGCAGCAGCATGACCTGAAAATGAACACTTCAACTTTAATCAAATTTTCAGGTGTCTGTAGCCCATGCCAACATCTGACTACACCCTCAGGAGGTACCCTGAGTCAAAACTTCCCAGTCAAATCTCTTTAAAATTCCTGACCCAGGGACACTGTGAGACATATCAAGTTAGTATGGTTGGATTAAGGTAGTAATCTTTGCAAAAGATATGTTATTAAGTATTAGATAACTAATAAAATTGTTCCATTGGAGAGATACCTAACAAGGTGAAATTGTATGGTGAAGAAAAACCACGTAGCTCACTGATTTTCTCTTTTCTTCAGGGTGCAAGCATTCCTGTAAGAGTTAGTTGGAATTTGAATCTGGGTAGGTTTGGGCCAAATTCCCACTGACTCCTATTTTTAAATTTTCTTCTTCAAACTTCACAATATTTTCTCCTGTCTCACGTTTATTTGATGGCTCACTTTAGACAAAGAAAGCTATCTTAGTTCCTGTCTTAGTCTTTTTGGCCTGCTATAATACAATATTATAAACTGGGTAGTTCATAAACACCAGGAATTTATTTCTTACAGTTGAGAGGTCCAAGATCAAGATATCTACAGACTCAGTGTCTGGCAAGGGCTTGCTTCCTCATAGATTGTGCCATCTCGCTGTATCCTCATGTGGTAGAAGGGGCAAACAACCTCCCTCGGAGTCTCTTTTTTTTTAATAAGGGCGCTAATCCCATTTATGAGGGCTCCCTACTCACGACCTAATCAGCTCCCAAAGGTTCTACCTCCTAATACTATCACTCTGGAGGTGAGGATTTCAAGATATGCATTTGAGGGGGCGAACACAAACATTTGGACGATAGTAGTCTCCTTAGCATAAATTCTGCATTTCAAAGTGCATTAAAAGTGCCTTACTAGTATCAGTGTAAATATACCAGATAGAACATAAAGGTAAATAATAGTAAATAGCCATCAAATACAAATGATCCATCGCTACTTGAAAAATTAGAAATAGAGAGAAAATAAAATACAGATTTTTTTTTAAAAAAAAGGCATATTTCGGCACTATGCAAACAAGAACGTAAAGTCACTTCAGACTGACTAGAAGTCTAGATTGTCAAACAGTGTGAACTGATAAAGTCATGCACTTTACCAATTTCAGATATACCTTCAAGGGATCATCAGCTGAACAAAGATAAGCCACAAAGAGAAAGTGAAGGTACTAGAAAGACTGAAAAGAGTAAATGTTATCAGTGTTATTTTCTGAATATCCATTTTTCATTTTCTTAGAAAGCTTCATCTTGTAAACATTTCCATAATAAATAGATTGATATCTTTATCATCTTCTCTTTCATTTTACCATGAGAATTTCTGAAATATATTAATTTAATCAATAAATATTTATTGAACACCTACTCTATGCCAGACACTATTGTAAGCACTGGGGATAAAGTAGTGAAAAAGAAGACATAGCCTCCTCTTCATGGAGTTTAAAACTAGTTAAGGATAAAAGCAGTAAGGAAACATATTGCAATATCAGGTGGCATTAAGTGCTATGCTATCTTAAGAAAAATAAAAAGATAAGATGAAACAAAATTAAAGATTCATGGTTTATTTAAGAGAGCATAATCAAAGTCTAGCAGAGTAAGATGTTCTTAAATAAGTACAAATTTGTTTCTCAGCACTTGAGTGTATGAACTCTGTTTCTTTGTGTTCCAAAGGTGAGTTCAATTTGGTTTCGATGGCTTCCTTATCTCTCCCCTCTTCTGAATATTTAGTGAGAAATTTAACATTAGTTATTTTGCAGAAGGGCCTTTCCTTTCCTTAGAGTCATGCAAGACTCCATACTTACCAACTTTGGAAAGCTTAAAGAAATACAACGAATTTATACACCATGGACCACACAAAGATATTCATTGTCCAAGGTTACATTGGTTATTCAAAGGCATACAGTACTGGTTCTCTGGCCATAGTCCCAGCTTTCTCATTGCTTTAATTCCCAAGGTGCTACACTTACATTTCAGTTCCCAGAAACCCAAGTGCTCCCTTAATTGTTCCTACCATTCCTAGGTCAGTGTGGAAGAGGGAAATATAAACCTTAAAGCAGCCAATTTATAAGAGTTAGGGAACCCACATATTCCTAAGGGTCACCTCTCTCCTCTTCTCAAAACCTAGAACTCAACCAGCCTCAGACAATCCACCTGTACCTCCCCTGAGCCTCTCACGTATTCCATGACAGTAAGGGAAATTAGAGTCCCTGGGGAAAGAGGCAAACAATACCTATCTTTCTTTTCTGAAAAGTCCATAGGAAAGTACTATAGCAAAGTTTTTATTATCTGACACAGAACATAGGATAAAAAGGTATTAAATCAGCTTCCTCCATTTTTAATAGAGTTACATTGTCAGATTTGAGGATTTTACTATTAAACATTGCCATGTATGTGCATCCAAACAGAGTAAACTGGAAAAAATGGGATGTGGTACAAGACTTACATATTCAGTATAAAGGAAAGCTAATTTGGGTTGGTTTGGCCTGTTGTAAGAGATCTAGAAATCTCTGCTGTTTATTGAGGTAAATATTTGACAATGGGGAATGAAATGAAGTATCAAAGAGTCTCAATATTCTGAGTGAGTAAGGCAAAGCAGGGAAAACCCAGACAGCCAAATATATGTTCTCTAGGTATGGTAAAAAATAAAAATAAATAATAAATAATAAAAAAAAAATTGACAAGAAGCACAGGCTTGGGATCAGGGGTAAGACTACTAATTTTAGGAAAGGAAATCAATGAGAATAATATATGAATTTCAAAGCAGATTTTTGGCAAAAAAAGTTTTTTAAAAATGCAAAAATCAAATGAACATGGGTTGCTTTTCATTTTTCATGAAGTACAAAATAGAATATAGTAACGGCTTCAACATTTCTGACATGGGGGGTACAGGAAAATAACCCTATGTCTCATGGCATGGGTTAAGGGTACCTTATAGTGAAGAAGCCCATAAACCCCAGGTTATCAAGGGTAGTCTACTGTTCTTTCATCTTATCAAGGCACAGAGAGACCAGATGAAAACCAGGTGAAGCTGGAAGAGGTATCATGTTGTACTGCTCCAGGGAAGGGCCCTGTCTGCTGTTACAGAGCTTCTTATAGTACAAGTCTGTGAATAGTCTTGAAAGCGAGGTATAAAAGGAAGGGACCTAGGCACCAGAGAGTCTAAATATAAATAGCAGTGCACATAGTTGCCTGGGAAATTGTATTTGAGCTATTAAAGCATTACTCCCCAACCATTTTATTTTCATTGTTGTCCCTTTAGGAAGTTTTATTGACATTTTCTTCCTGATAACACAACTGATGAAATTGTAATACCCCCAAATAGACTGCATTTGTTAACATACTGCATGCATATATGTGCTTTATACTTAAAAAGAGTAAGATTTTTTTGAACAACCTCATTGCAAGAACCACATTTTACTCCCTTGAGAATGGTATCAACCAAGTTAAGAATGCACACGTTAGAGAAAGAAAGGGAGTCTCTCCCATCTGAAAGTGAGCTTGGGTGCAATCCCTTCCATCAGGAAAAGTGTTTCTCCTGGTGATTCACCTGTCACAAGGCAACTGAGCTTCTGTGGTCATCCATACAACAATACTGCTTTTCTTTCTGTATTAAATCAAATAAATTAATGAAAAAAATCCAGACTTAAGACTGTAGAAATAAAACTCAAATAGTTGATTCTGAGTTATTACAAGAGTTTGAACTCTTATTGCCTGTCCAGTTGTGGTCATAAAATACTTTAGCAACAACTTTTAAAATTTTAACATTGCAGTTCATAATTCACACCTACTCTGTGACACAAAAATTCCATTTTTAGGTTTCTCAAGAGACTCATTTTCTAAACAAGAATGTTTAAAGCAATTATAATAATAATAGCTTCAAACTAGAAATAGCCCAAATGTCCACCAATAGCAGAATTATTCGATATATTAAGGTGTATTCATGGAATAGAAAACTACCCATCCATTAACAAAAAAAAAAAAATGAACTACTGATAAATGTAAACACATGGATAAATTTGAAAACATTATGTTGAACAAAATAATTTAGGTATAAAAGATACATGATATATGATACTTGTATAAAGTATTTACAATGTATGATGTATGGTTCCAATTATATGAAGTTCAAGTCCATGAAACACTATCCAATGTGATACCCTTATTAGGTGATAAAA